>NC_000003.12:163099513-163402543 GCF_000001405.40 Homo sapiens | reverse complement strand
AAAAGAAAAAAAATAATTAGTATATTTGCTCCTATGTTTATTTAATTTTTTAATTAGTAGTACAATTTTTTTGAGACAAATTCTCAGTCGCCCAGGCTGGAGTGCAGCGGTGTGAACATGGCTCACTGCAGCCTCAAACTCCTGGGCTCCAGTGATTCTCCTGCCTCAGTCTCCTGAGAAGATGAGAGCACAGGTGCTTGTCACCACACCTGGCAATTAAGCAAAAAAAAAAAAAAAAAAAAAACAAAGAAAAAAGAAGTAGACATGGTATCTCACCATGTTGCCCAGGCTCCTGTTGCACTCCTGGGCTCAAGTGATCCTCCCAGTTAAGCCTCACAAAGTGCTGGGATTACTGGTGGGAACCACAATGCCTGGCCCTGGCTTCTCTCCCATTTTTATTGAAGCACTACTCACACTAGCTAAATTATAGAATAAAATTGTGTCCATCAATGGATGACTGGATAAGGAAATGTGGTATATATACACAATGGAGTATTATTTAGTCATAAAAAATGAAATCCTGTCATTTGCAAAAACATGGATTGAACAGGAGGATATTATTCTAGATGAAATATGCCAGACACAGAAAGACAAATATCACATGTTCTTACTCACATGCGAGAGCTAAAAAAAAAAAAAATGATTTCATAGAGATAGAGAGTAGAATGATGGCAACTAGAGACTGAGTGGGAAGGGAGGTAAAGAAGTGTTGTTTAATGGATAGGAACATTCGGTTAGATAGGAGAAATAAGATTTACTGTTTGGTGGTACAATACGGCAATCACAGTTAATAATTTATTGTGCCAGGCATGATGAGTCACATCTGTCATCGCTTGACCCCGGGAGTTTGATACCAGCCTGGGCGACATAGTGAGACCCCATTCTTTTTTACTTTAAAATATACAATAAATTATTATTGTTATTATTATTGAGACAGTGTTCCACTCTGTCACCCAGGCCAAAGTTCAGTTGGTGCCATCATGGCTCACTTTAGCCTCAATCTCCTAGGCTCAAGTGATACTCCTACCTCAGTGTCCCAAGTAGCTGTCTCAATAATAAAAATTATAATAATTTATTGTATATTTTTAAATAACTAGAAGAATGGAATTGGCATGTTCCTAATTCCAATGAATTATAAATGTTTAAGGTGATGGAAATTCTACCCTGATTTATTTATTTATTATTTTATTTTATTTTATTTTGAGATGGAGCCTCACTCTCTCACCCAGCCTGGAGTGCAGTGGCACGATCTTGGCTCACTGCAACCTCTGCCTCCCGGGTTCAAGCTATTCTCTGGCTCAGCCTCTCGAGTAGCTGGGATTACAGGCATCCACCATCAGGCTTGGCTAATTTTTGTATTTTCAGTAGAGACAGGGTTTCACCATCTTGGCCGGGCTGGTCTTGAATTCCTGACCTCGTGATCCACGCCCTTCGGCCTCCCAAAATGCTGGGTTTACAGGCGTGAGCCACCGCACTGGGCAGATTTATTTATTATACATTTTATACCTGTAACAAAACATCAAACATACCTTATACATATGAACTATTATCCATAGAAAAATTTTTTAAAGAAATGAGCTATTAAGTTGAAAATGACATGTAGGAATCTTACATGTATATTTCCAAATACAAAAGACCAGACTAAAAAGGCTTCATAGTTTATGTGTTTAGCCTTATGACATTTTGGAAAAGGCAAAACTTCAGAAACAGTAAGGTCAGTGGTTGCCAGTTTTTTGAGGGAGAGTAGTGAAGGAGGGATGAATATGTAGAACACAATAATTTTTTAGGAAAGTAAAACCATTCTATATAGTACTGTAATAGTGAATACCTAATGTTATGAATTTATTGAAACCAATACTGTACAACACAAAGCTCGAATCCTAATACAATCTATGGAATTTAGTTATTATTAACGAATCAATATTGGGTCATCATGTCTAAAAATGTACCACAGCAGTACAAGATGTTACTAATAGGAGAAAGGATGGGTTGAAAGAGGATGTGTAAAATGACTCTGTATTACCTGCTCTTATTTTAAATTTGAAAAGTAATTGAAAAATCAGTAGAGAAGAAAAAATTATCTTGACTATCCCTTTTTATTATCAAATAAAATAAAAAAATTCAGGCTAATGTTTAAAATTAGCCTGATTAAAATAAAAATTCTACAGCTTGAAAAATAATGGGGTTTATATCAAGAATGCAAGGTTAGTTTCAGATATTACAATTAATGCCCTTTACCATGTTAAGAGAATGTAAGAGAAGCAAGCATAGGATCATTTAAGTAAATGCAAATAAAGTGCTTGAATTTTAAACAAATTCTATGGAAAACTCGTTGGAAAATTAGAAATAGAAAAAAAATGCTCAGTGTTGAAGAAATTAATGATTTTAGCCTAAAATTTTGAACAAGGTAAGCATGTTCATTGCCACCATTTTTTTTCAGTTTTGTACAAGAGGTTCAATCCTAGGCAATATAAAAAGAATGACACTGACTGTGGTTAAGACAGGATTATTCTTTATATAAGATTTTTTCCAAATTTTTAAAATTTTTGGTCAAAAATACACAACATAAAATTTAACAGTTTAACCATTTTAAGTGTACAGTTCAGTGATATTAATTACATTCAAGTTTTTGGGCAACTTTTCCAACTTTTTATTATTAATTTTTTTAAGCTGTGGCCTTCATTGTACTATTCTTTGACTTTTTCCAAAACACACAAAATTTCAAAGAAAGAACTCAGACTTTCTTTTTGTATAGATGGCATAATCATCTCTATAGATAATCCGAAGCAATTAATAAAAAAAGCTAGAGCTGAAAACTAATTTTATTGGGTAACAACAACCAAAATCTAATACACAAAAGTCAGTTTCGGTGCTACACAATATGAATGGTGAGTTAGAAAATAAAAGTTAAACTATCACTCACAAAAGCATAAAATTAAAATTTTAAAAATAATTTAACCAGGGGTTTATAAATGTGCTTACTGAAAATTAAAAAGAAAAAAGCTATGAGAAATTAAATTTGGAGTGAAGAATTAAATATTCAATAATTGGAATATTGGTGATGTAAAGATGAAAATTCTTCTCAAATTCATATATAGATTAAATGTAAGCCTAATTAAAATTCTAGCAGAATTATTTAAAAATATGAGCTGAATCTAAAATATATATGGAAAGGCAGAGGTCCTTAGATATACATAATGATTTGATAAAAGAAAAATATTTGGAGGACTTACATTACCTAGTTTTAATACTTACTGTAAAGTTATGGGGAAGAAAATAGTGTGCTATTGGCATATGAATTCATATACAAATAAAACAAAGTGGAAAGTATAGAAATGCATCCACATTTGCATGTTAAATCGTCATTCTACAAAGATACCAAAGGTTATTCATTTGAAAAAGATGTCTTTAAAAAAACAGTGCTGAAAAGCAAAGCATGACATCTGCATTGACAAAGATTAACCTCAATCTTCTTCAATATTAAAAATCACAGTATTAAAAACCTTAATCTGTAAAATCTCATTGCTAAAATAAATCAGCTCAGAATCAATCATAGAACTAAAAGTAAAAGTTAAAACTTTAAAATTGTAGGCAAAATACATACATTTTTAGGCAAAAGTATTTTTAGTTATGGGTCAAGCACAGATTTATCAAATAGGACACAAAGTTATGAACAATAAAGTAAAATAAAATAAAATGTATAAAATAAATATTATCAAAATAAAACTAAAAAAAGTTTGCTATTTAAAAGACACGTACGAGAAAATAAAATGACCACATAGTTGGGAAAAAATTAAATATGCATAATATATTTATGCATATACATGATTCTATATAAAACTATTATAAACATGTAATATGCACAATATGTATAAATATAATAAATAGTTACATAATATGCACAAATATGCACATTTATATGCAAATATTTTTCCATATTTATATCCAGAATACATAAAGAACTCTTATAATCAATGATTTAAAAATACAATTTAAATTGAGCAAAATGTGTGACAAGATACTTCACTATAAGTGATATACCACTGGCCAAAAGGAACATGACAAGATACACATCATCACTAGTCATCAAGAAATTGCACATGAAAATCAAAATATAGTATTACTGTTCATCCAATAAAATGTGTTCTGAAATGAAATTGACACACAATATCAAGTGTTTGGCAGTGTGTATAATATTAAACACTGTGTGACCCAACAATACCATTTTGGGTATTTATCCAAGTGAAATGAAAAGTTATGCCCTCAAAAACCTGTACTCAAATGTTTATAACAGTGTTGTCTCACAATTGCCAAAGCTGGAAACAACCCAGTTTCTTCAACTGGCAAGAGGGTAAAGAAATGATGACTATTGACATATGGGACCTAGTTAAACTAAAGAGCTTCTGCACAGCAAAAGAAACTACCATCAGAGAGAACAGGCGACCTACAGAATGGGAGAAAATTTTTGCAACCTACTCATCTGACAAAGGGCTAATATCCAGAATCTACAATGAGCTCCAACAAATTTACAAGAAATAAAACAAACAACCCCATCAAAAACTGGGCGAAGGATATGAACAGACACTTCTAAAAACAAGACGTTTATGCAGCCAAAAAACACATGAAAAAATGCTCATCATCACTGGCCATCAGAGAAATGCAAATCAAAACCACAACGAGATACCATCTCACACCAGTTAGAATGGTGATCGTTAAAAGGTCAGGAAACAACAGGTGCTGGAGAGGATGTGGAGAAATAGGAACACTTTTACACTGTTGGTGGGACTGTAAACTAGTTCAACCATTGTGGAAGTCAGTGTGGTGATTCCTCAGGGATCTTAGAACTAGAAATACCATTTGACCCAGCCATCCCATTCCTGGGTATATACCCAAAGGATTATAAATCATGCTGCTATAAAGACACGTGCACACGTATATTTATTGTGGCACTATTCACAATAGCAAAGACTTGGAACCAACCCAAATGTCCAACAATGATAGACTGGATTAAGAAAATGTGACACATATACACCATGGAATACTATGCAGCCATAAAAAGGATGAGTTCATGTCCTTTGTAGGGACATGGATGAAGCTGGAAACCATCATTCTCAGCAAACTATTGCAAGGACAAAAAACCAAACACCACATGTTCTCACTCATAGGTGGGAATTGAACAATGAGAACACATGGACACGGGAAGGGGAACATCACACACTGGGGCCTGTTATGGGGGTGGAGGAGTGGGGAGGGATAGCATTAGGAGATATATCTAATGCTAAATGACGAGTTAATGGGTGCAGCACACCAACGTGGCACATGTATACATATGTAACAAACCTGCACGTTGTGCACATGTACCCTAAAACTTAAAGTATAATAATAATAAAATTTTAAAAAAAGAAATGATGGATACTATGCAGTAATATAGATGAGTTAACTGTTAATATTCACAAATGCATGGATGAATCTCAAAGGCAACAGGCAAAGTGAAAGAAGCCAGACCCAAAGACAGCATATTTTACAAATCAATTTTTGTGGAAATGTAAAATACAAAGCAACAGGGATGGCAAACAGATCAGTGATTGCCAGGGTTAGAGATGGGGATGGCATTTAACCACAAAGAGCAATGCAAATAAATTTTGGATGGTCATGGGACTGTTCTTGATTTTAAGTGCACTGGTAGTTACACAATTTTACATATTGTACTTAATGCTGCAGGGCTGTAGCCCTCAAAAGAGTAAATTTTACTGTATGTGAATTAAAAGATAGCTTTTTAAAATGTAAAAAATAGTGCATAATTTCCCGTTTTTTTTCTTAGTGTGTCTTCCTTGCACCTTTCTCCACACTTTCTCTTTTCAAACGGAGGCAAATGTAATATACAAGATTGTAACTTGCAGTGTCCTGACATTAAAAAAAGATGGTATACGCAAATTGAAATTAAGAAAAATTTAGTAAAATGATTTACAAAATGTTGGAAAGGATTTAGGTAAAATGACCAAACAAAGGGTAATCCAGCAGCCTGAAGTTAGTAATGGAGTGATCCATTACCAACTTTGGGCCTGAAAGAACAAAGGGGGAGGAATTACTGGACCTAGAAAGAAAGTCATCTGGCAAGAGTTAACTGAAAAAAGCTCTGAACCTCAGTATAGGGAAGCACTCTACCTGGAAAGCCCCAGCAGAGGGGAACAGGTATAAAACTCTGAATTCTCTCTTCTTCCTGCACGTAATTTCCACTGGCAAAACTTAACTAGAAACCAGAAAGCCAGAAGTCCCACTGATGCAATCTATGCAGGTCAGCCTCACCAAGGACAGAGGCAAGTGGAAAATGATAGTCCATTTTGGGCAAATGGAAGACATACAGCAAAGCCATAGCATTTCCAATAAAGATACGGAGGAATAGAATCCATAATACTAAAAGAAAAATACAGTAAGATATCTAACATGTAATTATCTCATCTTTCTGTAGCTCCTAAAATCCTCTTATTATTTCAGAATTGTCTACTCACACTAGCATTTATAACACTAGGAAATTATGTGTAGCACTGCATACTATAACTTTACTTTTAATAAAGGATACATTTCATAAACACATGCTAAAATAATCCAATATATATAAATTTTCTAACTTTTTTGTGAAGGCTATATGAGTAGTTTCCCTGGGCTTCTTTTAAAACAGACTATTCTCTTCCATATTGTATTTCCCAACATAAATTTATATCTAACAATAGACATTTCTTTTTTCTCATTTTAGTAGAATATTAAGGTTTTCTAGATGTAAAATTATATCACTGGCAAACAGAGATAATTTTACTTTCTTTTTTCCAATTTGGATACCTTTCATTTATTTCTGTGGCCTAATTTATCTGGTTGGGGTTTACAGTACTATGTTGAATAAAAATGATGAAACTGGATATCCTTGTCTTGTTCCTACTTTAGAGGCAGTGCTTTCTACTGACTTTTCTCCATTTAGTATGATGTTGGCTGTTGGACTGTCACAAACGGCCTTGATTATTTTGGGGTTTGTACTTTCTATGTGTAGTTTTTGGGGATTTGTATTATGAGAAAATGCTAAATTTTATCAGTGCTTTTTTCTTTATCTATTGAGATGATCAAATGTGATTTATCACATTTCTTGATTAATATATGTTGATCCACCCTTGCGTCCCTGGTATAAAACCCACTTGATCATGGTGTAGTATCTTTTTCATGTGTTGTTGCATTTTGTTTGTTGGTATTTTGTTTGAGAATTTTTGTGCATATGTTAATGGGAGATTTTGGTCTATAATTTTCTTTTTTGTTGTATTCTTGTCTAGTTTTGGTGTCAAGGAAATACTGGCTCATAAAAAGAGGGAGAATTCCCTCCTCCTTGATTTTTTTTGGAAGGGTTTCTGGAGTACTGGAATGACATCTTCGTCACATGTTTTGTAGAATTTGGCTGGTGCTGGGCTTTTTTTATTGAGATGCTTTTTATTACTGATTCAATCTCAATATTCCTTACTGATATTTTCAGATTATCTATTTCTTCCTGGTTCAATTTTGGGAGATTTTATGTTTTCAGGAATTCATCCATTTTCTCTAGGTTTTCCAGTTTGTGAGTGTATTGTTGTTCATAATAGTCTCTTATGATGGTTTGTATTTCTGTGTTATCAGATGGACATATTTTCATTTCTAATTTTCTTTATTCGGGTTTTTTCTCATTTTTTTGACTCTAACTTGCAGATTATGAATTTTGATTACCTTTTGACAGAATCATCTTTACATTTCACTGATCTTTGTGGTCTATTTAGGCTGTATTTCATTTCCATCTTCTTTGATCTTTTTTATTTTTTCTTCTGCTGATTTTGAGTTTAGTTTCTTCTCACTATTCTAATTCCTTGAGTTGTGTTGTTAGATTGTTAATTTTTAATAGTTCTATCTTTTTGATATAGATATTTAATGCTATGAAATTTTCTCTTAGCACTGCTTTTGCTTTGTGGTGGTTTTGGTATGTTGTGTCTTTATTTTTGTTTGTTTCAAATATTTTAAAATTTTTGGTCTTAATTTCTTTGTTGATCCAATGTTTGTTCAGAAGCATATTTATTAATTTTCATTTATTCATATAGTGTCTGTAGTACATCTTGGTATTGATTTTTAATTTTATTACACTGTAGTCTGAGAAAATACTTGATATGATTTTGATTTTTAAAAATTTGTTAAGACTTTCTTAAGACCACATGTGAGCTAAAATAAGGTTTATGTTGGAGAATGTTCTATGGGTTGATGAAAATAATTATATACTAAAGTTGTTAGGAAGAATATTTTGCAAATTTCTTCTAGGTCTAATTTGTCTAAAATATCATTTAAGCCTAAACTTTGTTTGATTTTATATCTGATAATCTGTCTAATGCTGTGAATGGGGTTTTAAGTCCCCAACTATTATTTTATAGCCATCCATCTCTCACTTTAGGTCTAATAATATTTGATTTATGATTCTTAGTGCTCTAGTGTTAGGTGCATACTTATTTAGAATTGTTGCGTTATCTTGCTATATTGATCCATTTATCATTACAGAATAACCTTCTTTGCCTTTTTTAATGGTTTTGATTTAAGGTATGTTTTCTCTCATATAAGTACAGCTCAATCTGCTCATTTTTGATCTCCATTTGCATGGAATATCTTTTTTCACCCTTATAATCTATATGTCTTCAGTGGTAAGGTAAGTTTCTTATGAGCAGCATGTAGTTGGATCATTTTATTTAATCCATTCACCAATCTTTGTATATTAAGTAGAGTAATCAATTTACACTCAAGGTTATTATTAATACATTAGGTTTTCTAAGTCCTTAATCTTGCTATTTGATTCTTTTTCTTTGTATGATTGCTTTATCAGTGACTTTTATACATTTCTGTGTTTTCATGATGGTGAATATATTCCTTTTGCTTCCAAGTGTAGGACTCACTTAAGCATTTCTTATAGGCTCATCCTAGGTTGGATCAATTTCCTCAGAATTTGTTTGTCTGAAAAAGACTACTTATCCTTTATTTATGCAAACCAGCCTTGCTGAATTTATATTATTGATTTAAAAATTTTCTTTGAGCACTTTGAATATATCAGTCAATTTCCCCCTGTCCTGTAGGGTCTCTGCTGAGATGCCCACTGTTAGTATGGTAGAGTTTCCATCTAGGTTACCAGATGCCTTTGCTGTTTTCAGAATTTGCTTTTTTAGTTTGACTTTAGATAGTCTTATTATAATGTGCCATGGCAAAGTCTTTCTTGGATTCTGTCTGCTTGAGGATTGCTGATCTTCATTTATATCTAAATGTGTAAATCTCTTCCTGAACTTGGGCAGTTTTTATATTTTATACTCTTATACAGGTTTTCAAAGCTTCTTGACCTCTCTTCATGCTCAGGAATACCAATAATTCATAAATTTGGTTGCCTTATGTTATTCCAAAGATTTTTAAGTCTTTCTTCATTCTGTTTAATTATGAAATCATTTTTTATGGCTGCATAGTATTCCATGGTGTATATGTGTCACATTTTCTTAATCCAGTCTATCATTGTTGGACATTTGGGTTGGTTCCAAGTCTTTGCTATTGTGAATAGTGCCACAATAAATATACGTGTGTACGTGTCTTTATAGCAGCATGATTTATAATCCTTTGGGAATATACCCAGTAATGGGATGGCTGGGTCAAATGGTATTTCTAGTTCTAGATCCCTGAGGAATCGCCACACTGACTTCTACAATGGTTGAACTAGTTTACAGTGCCACCAACAGTGTCAAAGTGTTCCTATTTCTCCACATCCTCTCCAGCATCTGTTGTTTCCTGACATTTCTATGATTTTTTTCTTTATTTTCCTCTAACTAGATTATTTCAAAATACTTCTCTCCTAGTTCTGAAATTTATTCTTCTGCTCAGTCTAGTCTATGATTGAAGCTTTCAAATGTATTTTGTATTATTATCAATAAATTTGTTAATTTCAGAATTTTTTGTTTATTGTTTGTTTACTTGTTTTTAAAATATCTGTCTCCTTGGTAAAGTTCTCATTCACAAACTCAATTAATTTTCTAACTTTCTGGTATTAGTTTCAATTTCTCTTGCTTCCCATTGTGCATCATTGAATACATATTTTATATTCTTTATCTGAAATTTTGAAGTTTTTTTATTAAGATATATAGGTGGATAATTATTTTGTTTCTTGGAGGTGTCATACTACTTTGCTTTTCATGTTTCCTATGTTTTTATTTTGATTTATCTGCACGTGGTGTGAAATTTTTTATTATTTATTGAATTTACTTATTTTTGAATTTACTTTTATTAAGGTGTACTTTTGCTTGAAGATGTGCCTATAATGTTGGTTGGGTAGAGTCCTTTGGTTTTGCTTCTGGATGCATGTCATAGTGAAGTATCTGTGTGATTTTTTTTGGCTATATGCAGTGTAGTGGTATCTGTGGTTTCCTCAATTCAGATTATTGGTTGTGGGGACTGTGGTAAAGTTGTGTTGAAAACTAAAATACCAGATGGGCCCATCTTCAGGTTTCAGTGGTGGGGGTGCTGGGTTAAGTACGTCTATTCTTGTGCCTTGGGCCAACACATGCTGGCACCTGTTTTGGTGACTCCAGGTATCCGAGCTCTTGGACAGACAGCATGTCATGTGCAATGGTGGTTGCAGCTGTGGTAAAATGTTCTTCTGGTTCCCAAGCACTGAACCTTGTGTTGTCTGTGGTTCAATAGGCTGTGTGGGTCAGCCTCCAGGCCAGTAGCTGTTGCTTGCAGGTAGAAACCAACTGAGTTGATAGTGGTAGAGGGTTTATGGTCAACATCAGTTCTCTGGGAAGAGTACTCCAGTGTTCCAGGTGGTGAATTGGGTTGTAGAGCCCCCAGGGCCCTGGATCTTACACCCTGTCTCACGGGAGGAGGCACAGCCTGGTAGAGCCAGGTGAGGTAACTTTTTACTCAGGTGTCCCAAATACAAATGTCTCCACCAGCTTTGTCTGGCAGAATGCTTGGGTGAAGGGTGACCACAACTGTGCTAAGGTCCTGCCACAGGAAGGGTGGGACTAATCCCAGTGGCCACAGATCTTACTGGCAGATGGGGGACTTCTGTCATTTTCTCATTCCAATCCTAATCCATTTGGGCTATTGTAGCTGACCTGGCTAGGCTGTCAGACCCAGGAGATTACATCTAGCCTGCAACTCAGGCCAGGCTGTGTGAGTCCCCATCCAGCTTAAGACCAAACGTTCACAGCAACTCTTGTCTGGTTTATGTCCTGGGGGCAATGCCCACTTCCGGCACTGCTGGCTATAGCCTACACTATATTTACTTCTCAGTTCTGGTTGTAAAAGCCACCTCCAACTCATGTCTTGGTTCCACAATTGCAGCCTGTTTCCCTAATGCATAGGATAGTGCCACAGGTTCCAAGGACTGCACACAGCCTGCTAAGTGGTAGGAATAAGGATCACATCTTGCTATAACCAGTTAGGTTTCAGAAATTGCATGGGATCCAGAGGGATTTCTCTCCCTGGAGAAGTTTCTTCTCACAGTCTCTTGGCTGCTCCCTAAGATTCAGGAATTAGGAGTGTCAAGATGCTCTCCTATGGCCTGGATGGCCTTATTCCCCAGTGGAAAGTGGACTGCAGAAAAACACTTACACATTCTTATCTGTACTGGGAAGTCACTTTGAATTCCCAGCCAATTCCAGTCACACCAATTGCCTGTTTCTTTTCTTCCTAGTTTTTGGAGTTTCCTGTTCTTTTTCTGTTGAACTCCCATGTTTTTTATTGCATAATGTATTGAAAGTATTATACTGTCTATACATTACTATGTTTTTCTAAGTGGATGAGATGTACTTGTAATACTTCTAATCAGTCATCTTAAACATTTTAAATAAGAGTATTATTGCTTTACAGAATAAAAGCATCTGTATACACTGGTATCAATAAATTATATAAATATATAGCTCTATACATATTTTATATTAAAGTATAAATAATGGATGAGGCCTTAAATAATAATTTAAACAATATCTGCCATGGTATCATGAATTTGCCATTTTCACATTAAATCTAATTTTATTATGCTTTGAGATTAATTTCTATAAAAATAGTACATTCTATTTAAGGAAGTTATTTTGGGTATATATGTCTTGATTAAGTAACATGAGCTTCAATTTTAATATGACTATTATAATTATATGGATATTATAATAATTTACACATTTCTAGTTTCTTATGTTCAGTGATGCACTAGATTCATTTATAGACACTTGTGACTATCAGCCACTGCTGAAAATTATGAGGTTCAGCATAATCTAAAGATTAAAACTGGAGCTCCTTCCATTACTATATTCAACCCAAATATCCTTCCCAGATTTGTCTTCCCATTTTAGGTAATCAAAATCATTATCATAATAGTAGTAATAAAGAAAAGAATAAAAATAAGAGAGAACTTTAGTCCAATTGAACTACATATCAACTACCATCTACATACTTCCTAGCCTCAGCTTGGTCTTGGTGTCAGGATTTCTTACGTCACTCTTTCTTGGAATACATATTTTTATAATTTCTGTAACTATTAAAATACATCTCGTATATCAAAGTCTAGCTCAAATAATAAATTTAATTATCTTTCTTCTAATAAAGTAAGATTACTTTCTGCTACAATGTCCCTTACTACATAAAATCTATTGTATAAGAGCTCCTATAACAGCTTAACATGTTATCAAGTTTAAATTCCTTGAAGGCAGGCATAATTTTCTCCATGTACATGTTAAAACTGCATTAAAAATGCACAGACATACACACATTTTAACACCTTAATTTGATTCAATTATATATCATTGTCTTGACTATAACTTAACTGAATATTTTTAAGGATCGTACTCTCCCATATTGTTTGTTTTTGAGAAATCTAATTTGCTCATGTGATTGAGCTACACATTGACAGTAGTGATTCATATATTCTCTTTAAAGCCTTAACTGGAGGGTCATCTTTAATCTCTATGCTTTTAAAATATAAATTTAAATGAGGTTTGAATATTATACATTTCTTTTTAGTAATACAATTTTTAATTTTTAGTTCAAAGTGACCCATACAAACCATCTTTTAGTTGTTTCTAAATTTGAGAATATATGTTTAAAATTAAGAAAATTATTTTCTCTAACAATTAACACTATTAACTCCTCTCCACTTCACAGCCCTGAACTACACTCTATAACTTTATTCCAGAATACAATATGACTTTAAATAGAACAAGTTTTATTAAATATAAACTACAGATTCTTACACACTCATGAGTTATACACTGGGAGAACGGAGAATAGAAGGTATTTTTAACAGACATCTTTTTCAGAAATAGCCTACTGATATCCTTTATTTTTTTTTACTAGGAGAAATACTATTGTCTGGGGGTTCTCTGGTCCTGTTTTGCTAAAAACATCTCTAAACTTTTAAGCTGTTCTTCTGATCCCATGTTACCCAGAGAGAAGGTTGATCTTTCAACTTATTTTTATTTTCTGCCTGCCTTTACAAAGCATTACATTGTATATCTAATGTTGATATCAGTTATAATAGATAGTAAGGGTAGATACTATACCAGACTCTTTTTCTACAATATTGGCGTTGTTAGAGAGATCAGCGATCTTGGAATACCTTTTACCTTACCTTGACTTCCTCTCTAAGTCATCTGTACTAGACTAACAGCTTGTGAGATAATGCATGATGTCTGTCTATATCCTGAATGTTCCTTAATATTGGTTCTTTAACTATTTTATTGTGCTTATTTGTGCCCATGTCTATTTGACTGTGTCTACCACGGTATTTTTCAACACATTTTCTGCACTGTGATCTCGTCCCTGTCCATGAAAAGGGAGAGTCAATTTGCCTGACCATTAAATCTGAGGAAAAAAGATATGTATAACAAATATGCTAAATAAGTAAAGGTGATAAATGCAACAAAGAATATGAAAAATAGGGCAGGGTATTGAAATAGAAAGGTGCAGGTGGAGGCCTAGATGTCACTTTTAAATAAAGAGGTAGAAAAGTCTTTGCTAAATGAATGACATTTAAGTAAAAACTTGAAAAAAAATGAGGAAGCTGCCCCCGTGGATATCTGGAAGAAGGCTGTGTAATTGATAATTTTAATTAATTTTAGTTTTTCATTAAATTTAACTTTCTTTTTCCAAATTCAGTCAGAAACTTAATCACATTTATAATACATTTTTCTAGCATTATTGATGTATAGTTGACAAAATAAATGTACATATTTACAGTGACAGTATATAATGTAATGTTTTGATATATGCATACATTGTGAAATTATTAGTATAATGGAGCTAATTAACATATCCATTACTTCATATCTTGTCTGTGTGTGTGTTGTGAGAACTTTTAAATCTACTGTCTTAGCAAATTTCCAATAAACAATTTAGTATTAATTATAGTCACCATGCTGTATATTATATGTATTCACTAATCTTGCCTAGTTGAAACTTTGTTCCCTTTGATCAGTATCTTCCCATTTCCCCACCTCCCCACTCCTCACAATCACTATTCTACTCTTTGCTTCTATATATTTGATTTTGTTTTGCTTCCACATATAAGTGACAGCATGCAGCATTTGTCTTTTTATGCCTAGTTTATTTCACTTAGCATAATATTCTCCAGGTTCATTCATATTGCCATAAGTGGCAGTGTTTCCTTCTTTTTTAAGATTGAAAACTACTTTAACATGTGTGTAATTTTCTTTATACATGTATCCATCAATGGACACATAGGTCGATTCCATATCTTGGATATTGTGAATAATGCATCAATAAACATGTATGTGCAAATATCTCTTTTACAATTTCATGGTATTTCTTTTGAATTTTTTCTCCAAAGGGATATTGCTGCATCATAGTAGTTTTATATTTATTTTTTTGAGGAATCTCCATACTATTTTACACCATGGCTGCTCCAATTGTATTCCCTTCTAAAAATGCACAAAAATTCCCTTTTCGGCACATTCTTGTCAACAAATATATTTTGTACTATGGTTTTGACTGGCATTTTGCTGGTGATTAGCGTTGAGCAATTTTTATATATCTGTTGGCCATAAGCCTTCTTTGAGAAATGTCTATGCAGGTCCTTTGACTATTTTTTAAATCAGGTTATTTGTTTCCTTGCAATAGAGTTGCTCATATTTCTTATAAATATTGGATATTAACATATCATCAGATGTATGACTACCAAATAATTTGTCCCACTCTATAAATTGTCTCTTTAATCTATTGATTTTTTTTTTGCTGTGCAGGAGCTTTAAAATTTGATGAAATTCCATTTGTCTATTTTCCTTTTTGTTTCCTATGCTTTTTGAGTTGTATGGAAAAAATCACAGCCCATCACTATAATCAAGAAACTTTATCATTATATTTTCTTCTAGGAGTTTTACAGTTTCAGTCCTTAATCCACTTAGAGATTTTTCCATATGGTGTAAGCCAAGAATGTGGTTTAGTTATTCTACATGTGGATATCCAGTTTTCCCAACCCATTAACTAAAGAGGCTTTCCTTTGTCTATTGTATGTTCTTGGAATGCTTGCCAGAAATTAGTCATATATCTGTGGGTTTATTTGAGGATTTTCTCATCTGATATACAATATATATGTGTGTGTGTGTGCGCGTGCATATATATATATATATATATATATATATATATATATAGCCTGCTTTGATACTATAAGTACTATACTGTCTTTATACTATATCTTTATAATATATTCTAAAATCAATAGTGTGATTCCTCCAGGCTTGTTCTTTTTGCTCAATATCGCTTTGGCTTTTGGGGATATTTTATGATTGAAAAGCATTTGGAAAACTTCAGCATCCCTTTCTGATTAGAATTCTAAACTAATTAAATATGAAGAAATGTACCTTAACATAATAAAAGGCTTTCCTGACAAGCTCAGAGGTAACATCATATAGAAATCTTTTTCTCCAAGATCAGGAATAAGACAAGAATGCCAACTCTTGCCACTTCTATTCAATGTAGTACTGGAAGCACCAGCCAGAGTAATTGGGCAATAAAAGATATCCAAATATGAAAAATATAAGTAAAACTGTCTCTGTTTGCAGATGACAAGATCTTATTATATAAAACCCCAAAGACTCCACCAAAAAGCTCTTAGAGCAAGTACATATTCCTGTTTTGCCACCTTAATAATCTCATAATTTGGAAAAATTATTTGTCTGGGTTTTAGATTCCTCACCTGTAAAATGTTAACATGAGGGCATACTTCATAACATTGTTGTGAACATTGTACATGTCAATATATGTAAAACATGTCCTGAAAGAGTAATCATGCAATTAATGTTATTTATGTTTTAATTATTATGTTTTAAAACTGCTAAAATATAAATGAAATCTATATATATTTTTATATATTATACATAATATATATATGTATTTACCATATTACATACAAAGATTTAAGTGAATAGTCATCATTTGGAAGACATATTTACAAGTGGATGAAAATTACAATAGTTAACATTTAGAAAACTTCCCGTGGCAGGTTTTGACATCAAGTTAATAAGAGTAATTAAAATCATACAAAAAAGGATATTTGTATAGTGGAATTCCATACTTAATAAGTCATTTTGTAGGGAAAAAAAATTTTCAAATGCAAGATACAAAGTGAATATGATAAAGCCTGACGATATGCACTGGAAGTGTAATCAAACTGCTTCTATTATTGGAATGCAAAAGATCACATTTCCAGAAATAAAGCAGAAAGGAAGAATTTCTCTAAAGTTGTTTAATATTTCTTAAAACCAATGTGGCTGGGCGCGGTGGCTTACACCTATAATCACAGCACTTTGGGAGGCCGAGGTGGGCGGATTATGAGGTCAGGAGATCGAGACCATCCTGGCTAACACGGTGAAACTAAAAATACAAAAAATTAGCCGAGCATGGTGGCGGGCGCCTGTAGTCCCAGCTACTCAGGAGGCTGAGGCAGGAGAATGGCGTGAACCCAGGAGGCGGAGCTTGCAGTGAGCCGAGATCACTGCCACTGCACTCCAGCCTGGGCGACAGAGTGAGACTCCGTCTCAAAAAAACAAAACAAAACAACAACAACAACAAAACAAAAACAAAAACAAAACAAAACAAAAACTAAGGAAGCCAATAGTTATAGGACCATAATGTAATTACTTGTAGGAATCTGTTCAATGTATTTTAATTATGTCTAATTTTGACTTATAAATAATGTAGAGTGGGGTTAAATTTTAAAAAGTGATATAGATCAAGTGGCTTCATATCAAGACTCCAAATGAAAACCTCACAGAGAAATGACATAGGCAGGAATACCGCTAATTGAAGATGATTGCTTCAAAAGGAAATTTAACTAAAAAAAATTCAGGTACTTTATTATTTTGGAAATAGACCTACTGCATTGTCTCTTTTGACCCTTACAACAGCTTGTAAGAGTGATGCTATAATTCAAATCCATGATTTTGAAGCTTGACTTATAAAATTTTCAGTTAATTTTTCAGAGGTCACACAGAAGTTCAAGTCAAGGTATATTTGCTACTAAAATCTGTGTTCTTGCTATGTTATCCAAATCAATAGAAACTGCTAACATCTGTAAAAATATGTGCTTATTAGTGCAGAGTCCAAGAAAACAACTGATCACTCTATTGAGTACCTCTCAATTATTCTCAACTAGTATGAATACTATTACCTTTTCAATGTTAGTATTACATTTTTCATATTTTACATCAATTATTATTCTTACTACTATAAAGACATATCTGGATATACTTGAAATACAAGAGGGAATATTTTTAATGTTTATGTAAAAGTGTTATTGAAGAAAAAAATGAAAATATTCTATGATTTCTACCATTTATTTAACTCCTAGAATATATATGACACATGAGATGTGTCAACTAGAGGCCATGTGCAAGAACCGGAAGTGGTTAATATCTGTTCTATAGCTTAGTAAGCAGAAGTTTTGTGAGTCTAGACATTCCAGGAAAACATGTATAAAGTTAAAGAGGCAGCTTTAAGTTTCAGACAGAGATCTGTTGCTATATACTCTGTGGACTTTTCATTGAATCTTACCCATGAAAAAAATGGTTTATCCAAAGTAGTGGATTCTAACAATAATTCTCTACAAAGAAAAACCATACTAGGACAATCACTGTAATTTTAATCTCAAGTAGTGATTTGTGTAGTTCAAATAGCATCATTGTATCAAGAGTGGAAGTAGTTCCATAGATTTAGCATAAGTAACCCAACAAAAGATGATTGTATGGGTGAGAGAGGAAATAAAAGAAAAATGATGGTGAGTAGTAATGAAAACAAAATTAATGTACTCAGCAGATTTGAACTAGAGGTCCAGGGCCCAGGAAAAGTTGAATATGTATTTGGATTCAATGTAGAATTGCTACTTCTCTGAAGCATGAAACTGTATTAGCACTACCTTAGTTTCTAGAGCTACAAAGTTATTAATTATTAGCAAATTTTGATTTTTAAATTTCAGCCACAGACAACTCACCTTGTTAGTTAAATACAGTGTAAAGAAATGCTTCCCTATATCTGAACCATCAAAGTAAGGAAATGCTCCTTCACTTTGCTTTATTACCCACAGTGACTACCCATTAATTTGACTATGATTGTTGTAATTCATGCTGCTTTCCTATAAGACCATCATCAGTATTTTACCCTCTCAGTTTCGTAGTTTTAATTGTGTTTAAATATAACTACCCTGTTAACATGGATATTTTCATTTCCTTTTAATAAAATGCCTAGTTGTTTTTCAACTATATTGCTGGTTGTTGTTTTTTATCAACCTTAATTTAGAGGTGCCATTTGATGTCTCTTAAATTATAAATCATTTTAAACACATAGTGAAGTATAGCAATTAATAGAAATTAGTATAACAGGTTTCAATGAATTCTAGGTAAATAAAACAAATGTAGAATATTAAAATATGTATTTTAGATATATAAAAATTACAGATAACTTCTAAAAATTACAGCTATTTAAATTTATCTAGTCCTGGGTTCTAGATGCAACTATTATAATAACAAAGCTAAATAATGTCAGATATTATAAGCTATTTTTAAAAAAATGTTTTAGTTTTAAACCAAAAAGAGATGGAAAACTATTGAAAAAAATTGAACACATCAGGAATGTGATCTGACATGTTTCACTGTAAAGTATTATATTGAAAAGGGACTAAGGTGAAAATGGGAGAGAGAGGAGTGACCAGTTAGGAGGCTACTGCAATTTTGTAGGGAAAGATAATGAAGATAAAACTGAATAATAATTGTGAGAATGGTGAAGAATAATCATATTAAATATGGAGATTATCATATTGATTGACCTGATTGATGGGAGTTGTGGTACAAAATTAAGGATTTAAGGAGATGAGACAATTATATAATAATAATTATATAATAATTGTGGGAATGGTGAGGAATAATCATTGAATATGAAGATTATCATATTGATTGATCTGATTGATGGGAGTTGTGAAGCAAAATTAAGGATTTAAGGAGATGAGACAATTATAGTTTGTTTGTAGTTTTGGATTTTTTTGTCTTCTCAATCTGAAAGGATGGTGTTGCCATTAACTGTGATGGGGAACACTGTGGTTAGAGTAGTTTATAAAGGAAATGTTAAGAAAGCATTAATGATAGTTTAATGTATTGTTATTTGCCTTTTGGGTCTTTAGTTTCTGTGAAATATTTCTACTTAGAAATTCTTTTTAATACCCTGTCCTGCACTATGTGTTATGACATAGAGTAGAACAAATGGGAAAACAGAGATTATGAATAAAAATCAAGAGTGCTTAAACGCTCTAGTATTCATTGTTAGAATGCATATAACACAAATATAAAAATCATATATGTACAATTTTTTACATTTTTTCTTTAAGGAAAAAGTCAATTTGTAAGCATCCTAAAAGTTTTAAAATGTGGCTTATATTCCCATTGTTTAGTGATTATTTGGCTCCAAAGTAACAACACCTACTAGAAATAAACCCTCAGGAAGCAAAGAATATATGTCATTCAAAAAAATATCCACAGAAACCTTAACTCCTAGATAAATGCAGAAGATTCCTTCATTACTTTTCTCTAGATCTCCATGCACACTTGTTCTACCTGTCATCCAAACAACGACAGTATCATCCAATACAGTGTTTATTTTTGGCATCTTCAACTACTTGAAAATACCTATCATGACAGCCAGATATGGAGATGTTAGCTTATGAATGTACAAGACCTTTTGAGCTTGGATTTCTGCAAACAAAATCCACGTTTTGGGGAAGGAAAATCTAATTAGTTCAAGATAGCTATGACACTGGTCTCCAATGGTCAAAGCTAGAGGATATGGGGGCACTCACAGGAGACTTTTGTTAAGAAAGAATTATAGGTAGGGAGGAAGTTATTAACATCCTAGTGTAAATTATAAACAATATAATTTTATCATTCAAAATAAAGCAGAAAAAACATATATTTATTAGTATACGAATTCCCTATATTTGGTGCTACTTTTAGAGATAGTGTTGATTATTAATTGCTATTGTTTACTTCTTTTAGTTATGAATAATTTCCCTGATATGTAATTTAGGATAGTGCTCAACAATAATCAAACAATACTATTCTTGGACATATATATTACAACTGATAACGCAAAAAAGATTAATTTTTATTTTTGCTAGAAAACATGAGGTAAATTTCTTCAGCCACTTTTGAGTTAAACCAGATGTAAAATAACTATGTTTCTTTAAGCTCCTACAGAAATTTTTGTCATGAAATCACTTCGAGTGCAAAAGGTCTAAAATTGCAAACACTGCATGCACTTATTCTTCTCCAAGAAATTGTGGAAATTTAGAGTTAAAAACAAACAAACTAGAGCATTGTTGAGTTTAACACTGATTTTTCACAAGTGTATGCCTAACAGTCTAATCTTTAAATTGTATTTTCATAGTACTTGCAGACTGCTAACAGGAAAACCATGAGGTAGTCTAATATTCTTTTTATCTTGGGGTTATAAACATTTAATTAAAGTTATTATTCTTTAAAAATTAATGCTGAAAAATTAGGATAAAATGTGGGCATATAACAGCATTAGTTTTCATTATTATAGGATGCAATTCCATTAGGTTATTCATAGCAAATTGTTAGTAAATAATGTCTTTAATTTATCAGAATAATAAACTTTAGATTTTGCTTGAAAAAGGCCCAGATAATAGTGATATATAGCTTAATATTTAAGTTACCTTTAAATCACAATTTTCCTTTTTTAAATTGTATTTGCATAATATATGTGACATAATTAATGTGACTGTTAAGTTTCACACACATTTTGCAGAGAAAACTCACTCTTGTACTTATATCCTTTTTTGTGACATCTCTAGAGTCTCCTTTTTAAAAATTGTATTATTCTTCCTTCTGCTATTCACTGTTGTCACTATAATAAAACAAAAATATAAATTCATTTAATGTAACTGATAATTTCGTATCTGAATCATTTATATTCTTTTTTTTTTTTTTTTTTTTTTTTGAGATGGAGTCTTACTCTGTCACCCAGGCTGGAGTGCAGTGGCGCCATCTCAGCTCACTGCAACCTCCACCTCCCGGGTTCAAGTGATTTTCCTTCCTCAGCCTCCCGAGTAGCTGGGACTACAGGCACCTGCCACCACGCCAGGCTAATTTTTTGTATTTTTAGTAGAGACAGGGTTTCGCCATGTTGGCCAGGATGGTCTCAATCTCCTGACCTCGGGATCCTCCCACCTTGGCCTCCCAAACTGCTGAGACTACAGCCGTGAGCCACCACACCCGGCCAACATTCCTATTCTTTAGTTGCCAAATCTCTTGAAGCTGGTTTCCCTAACTTCTTATATCTTGGGTTCAGTATCTTTCTCAATGAACACACACACACTCATGCATCACGTAATGACAGGGATATTTCCCAAGAAATGTGCTGTTTGGCAGTTTTGTCATTGCAGGACCGGAAGTTGCTCTGCGTGAGTCTGGAGTCAGTGGTGAGTGAACGCAAAGGCCTAGGACATTACTGTACATCACTCTAGACTTAGGCTACACTATATTTGTAAAATATGTTCAGTCTTCAATAATAAATTAGCTTCCTGTAACTTTTTACTTTATAAATTTTTAACTTTTCCACTCTTCTAATAATGGCTTAAAACACAAACATATTTTACAGCTATACAAACATTTTATTTTTCTTTATATCCTTTGTCTATAATTTTCACCTCCAAATCCTTCACCTCCAAATCTTTCGTCTTTCACCTCCAAATCTTGTCCCACTGACAATAACGCAGAGAGAGCTGTCATCTCCTATGAGAGCAATGCCTTCCATAATACCTTCTGAAGGAGCTGACTGAGGCTGTCTTATAGTTTATATACATATATAGTTTTTATGTATAGTGTACATATATATACACATACACATACAGACATATATACATATAGAGGTATATGTTTTATTTATATGTATGTTGGAGTGCACTCTGAAATAAAGATAAAATGTATGCTATAGTAAATACATAAACCAGTAACAGTCATTTATTATCATTATCAAGTATTATGACTGTACATGATTGTATGTGCTATACTTTTATATGACTGGCAACACAGTATATTTATTTACACCAGCATCACTGTGAACACATGGGTAATGAATTAAAGTACAATGTTATGATGGCTATGATATTACTAGATGATAGAAAATTTTCATCTCTATTGTAATCTTATGGGACCACCATTTATGAAGTTCATCTTGACTGGAATGTTGTTATAGAGCACGACTGTAATTTAATTCAGATTCAGATGAGTTCTTCATTCAAATTCAAGTAACACATACTGAGCACTTATTTGGAACTGTATCATACTGTACAGGGGTTTTACTAATAAGTTAAAATAATTATAAGTTTCTATTAAGCAAACAAGCATTTTTGAAATTTGTGAGTATTTGGCCTAAACAGAGCTGTGTATTTCATTTAGGTTTTAATATGTATCAGTCAGATTCCAATCATGAGAGAGAAATTGCACAATCATTTGAACTGGAAAATTTTAATGTAAATAATTGATATATAAAACAAGCAAATAAAGTGATAAGGAATTGCCTAGTAAGAAGTTAAGAGAGCTCTAAAAAGATGAGTATAGCAGACATAAAGAGCAGTCATTACCCCTACAGCTAAGATAAAGCATTCATGAAAGACACTTCCTGGTCTTAGAGCTAGACCTTGTTGAAGAGATTTGTAACTCACTGAATGGCAGAGAGGTTTTTGTGGTTCTCTCAATGAATCTTGCTGGAAAACATCCATTTGGAATTTGTAAAAAATCTGGTCTCTCTAGTGTTTAAGAAAGATGCTCATGGAGTGGTGCATCACTAGAGACATTTGTCGGTAAAACTGTTTAAGGGGGATGTGGTGGAAAGCTACTCACCACTGGGTGTTTGTTTCATACTGGTTGCTACAACTTTAATTTATTCAGTTAGACATTAAATTTGCATATTTCTAGAGGCTATCTCTATTTCTCCATACCTATTTCCAAAACATTTGTATAGTTTTGATCGTCTTAAAGCTCCATTATTTCTATGTACCCACTGCACTTTTAATTTTACAGTATTCAATTGAAATTATTTTAATTCTACCTTTTCATAATGAAAAGTTTATTGAAAACTAAGGATTAGGAAGTTTTGCTTATGAGTCTTAGCTCTATCACTCGTATATCTTACTATTCTAAGAAAATAATTTTCTCTCTCCAGATTTTAGTTTCCTCCTCTCAAAATGAGTACTGAAGATTCAGTATTTATGGTGCTCTCAATTTCTAAGTAGAAGGGTAGTTGATTGATAGGTAGGTGGTACATGTTGTTACTGCTCTTCAATACTTCTAGTTTTCTTTCCCAAATGGGGATACCAGAGAACTAAAGTTTCTAGTTACCTTGAAGTTTGGCATAGCCAGATGTCTTCATTAACTAATGAACTATGATCACAAGTATGAATACCGCTTGTATGTGAAAGTAGTTAAGATCATTTTTGCCATGCCACTACAATCTTAAAATTAAGTATTCATATGGTAGCATCCACATCAAAGCAGCTTGGAATAATTAACCAACATAGAGGACAATTTCTATAGAGAGTTACCCCAACCACCATGGACTGCATGTAAATGTGAAATAAATTTTGTTATTTGATGAAAATGGCTTGTTTGATATCACAACATAAGATAATTTTTAAAAATCTAGTTAGCTAGATGAGAAGCTAGAAAGATATACAATAGGCAGATAGAACAGTAGAAAATGAATTATTGAGCCCATGTGATAATGCCAGACTCCACTCTTAGTTTTAATTAAATCAACTCATAGATATTTACAACATCCATTTGAAAATGTACATTTATGATTTCTATTTTTGAGAAATATGTGAGATCAGTAATTTTTTCAACTTTATAGATCAAAAAAAGTCAGGATCACATTTAAAAAATATAACTCCTGCTCTTAGCCATTGATGCATAAAAATATGGACAATATTCTCTAAATAGATTTACAAATAACTTATTCGGGTGGCACAGCAAAAGATTTAGGGACAGTTTCTCACATGTAATGCAGCATGAGTTTAACCAAAAGTGTTATAATGAATCATTAATATGTCATCAGGTATTTGGCAAATTTCAATATCTCATCTATTACATGTTGAAACTACTGTGTAAGATGGTACAATAATTATATGAAAGTAAAGTAACAGTTTGATAAAATAAATAGTTTAATATATATTGAAGGTTGTTCTTTATTTTCAAATTGTCCTCCAACATGATCTCTCAATATTAATTAAAATAATAGCAGTTGACAGCCTGGCACGGTGGCTCACACCTGTAATCCCAGCACTTTGGGAGGCTGAGGTGGGTGGATTACCTGAGGTCAGGAGTTCAAGACCAGCTTAGCCAGCATGGTCTGTACTAAAAATACAAAAATTATCTGGGCGTGGTGGGGGGGTGCCTGTAATCCTAGCTAGTTGGGAGGCTGAAGCAGGAGAATCGCTTGAACCCGGGAGGTGGAGTTTTCAGTGAGCCGAGATCACGACACTGCACTCCAGCCTGGGCGACAGAGCGCAACTCCATCTCAAAAAAATAAATAATAAAATAATATCAGTTGACAAAGCCTTAGTCATATTGGACATATCTATAAACCTAAAATAGCAAACAAAATGCAATTCAAGTGAAAGTCAAATTTGTGTGAAAGGCATAATATTTAGAATTGTCTACTTTGAAAATTACTGATTATTTTAAAATTAGAGCAAACTTTGGTTTGGCCTAGAAAATGTGAATCTAAGCATTTACAGTAAGGTGCTATAGTCTGTCACCTTATAAGAAATTGTACTACTTGTGTTCATTTGCAACATTACTCCACATTAGACCTCACAGTGGAATAATCTCCAAGTGAATTAAATAGATAAATAAGAGACAATTTTTAAACAGGTTATCCTTATGTGTTTCTACATAGAAGATTTATTAAGCCTAATGAAAGTTTTAAATAAAGTAGGGGAACAATTTGGCAAATTTTACTGCAAGTACATAAAGAGTTTTTGAAATATTATATATAAATAATGTAAAAAATTGGCTATATATCAAATTTTTGTCATCTACATAATGTCAAATGCAAAAATTAACATTTATTCTAAAATCATGCTTACAGCAATGACAGGAGAAACAAAATGACAAAGAAGTAACTAATAATTATCCAGCTGCTAATGGTGATGAAGAAGGTTAAGTTGATAATAGTGTCCAAAATATCAACTTAGACACAAAGTAAGCATCCTTTGTGTTGGAGTTCACATCCTCTTGAGAGGTTGAAAGTTTAGATTAGTTAAACTCTAGATTAGGCTGAAATAGGCTAGAAAGAATATCCTGTCCTGGGACCCAGCCAGCTCTTTCTGCTTCTCTGATTACAGGAACTTCTTTGGTCAAACACACACACACACAAACACACACACACACACACACACACACACACACACACAGAGAAAAGATAGGCTTTGAAAATACAGACAGTGGCCAATGTTAAATGAAAAATTTTATCTTTTGACAGAATATCTTTTAGTATTTGAGAATAATGGAGACTTTTCAATCAAAGACAATTACGAATGGGAGTATTTAATATTTCTCACTATTATTTTTTATGCAAAACCCTATGGGACAGAATGCTTAACAGAGATAAAATAGAAGAGATAATAAGCCAAATACAGACAGAAGCTGGGACATTATGAGTACATTCAATTATCTTATTTAAAAGAAGATAACTTAGCACATGTATTTTCTCCTTCCTCTCAAAGGATACTTGAAAATATTTTTTAAAACAATTTTAGCATTATTTGGACATAGGGTGTTTTCAATGAAGCAGAATTTTGAGCACTGTCTGGAAGACATGAAGCAGATGGGAACAGATGGAGGACAAAACTAATCCATGCAGAATAGCCTGTGATTTAAAGCAGGCAAAAGGGGAAAACCTGGAGGAATAAGTGAGCAGGTTTTCTAAATGAGCCCTGAAAACAATAAAAGTTCAGAACTGAAGAACTGAAAACAAGTCAAGATGGGTAATAAAGAAAAAACTGAAGGGATTTAAATTTCATGCTAGTTATTTCCACACAGAGTAGCTGGTAATCGGTTTAAAAATGAACTGAGGGATATGGCATTGAAGTCTGTCAATGTGGGCAGCAGAGACAAAGAGAAGGGATTTAACCACAGCAAACATTTGAATGCCATTTAAGAGCCTTGGAAGGAAAAAAATGAGTTAGCATATTTGGTAAAAATCCTGAATCATTGGGCATTTTCTTTCCTATTGACTCTAAAAATTAATATTCTAACTGTACATATGCAACTGTAACACCTCACAGGGTTTGGACAATTGGGCAGCCTTGGTGAATACTCAGAGGAATCAACTACAAGAAATTTAGGGCTTCCTTCAGTGACCAATACACGTAACAGCTAACCATGGGCTACACACTCAGGCTTCACTTCATATGGAAAGCAATGTAAGAGAGATTATGCCATTTAAAAACTTCATAGGCAAGCTACTAATTCAAGAAATCAAACATCTGCTGGAAATCTTCCAAATAAACTGAAATTTTCATGTCAAACATCCCAGTCAACCAATACACACATTAAATATTTCCATTGGGAAAAAAACCTTGATACTTCACTAGTTTGGTATTGAGTAAACTGGATGGATAGGAAAGTGAATTTTTTTCATAAACTCTCACTTGGATGGATGATTACATAGGTAAAACATCTAGTTTATTCATTCTAATTATAGGAAAAGTTGTTAATATGCTAAAATAAAGGATACTTTACAAACTGTATATAACTTCAGCAATGAGTATTAACTTCTTTTCTCTAAGTAACATAAAGCCAGTACAGAAAAATTTAGGTCTTCATGACTGGATGGGCACTAAAAGTGATTTAAACAAGTGAGAAGAAAGCACTTAACTTCAGAAGAAAAATGTTGGGACAAGAACCAATAAGACTGGAATTGCTATGTTGAACATCTGGCTCATTTTAATGACATCCTTTAGAGTTATTGTGTCATTTTTCCTTTCTGAGACCACAAAATAATGTTAGAATATGGTCCAGGACTTAACGTTCTGTTGATAATTTCAATCATTTGAAATAAAAATCCCAGGAAAATGAGAGTATTCTGACTTCAGAACAAGAGTGGGATATCAGTACAGTAGATGTTTACCAAAAAAGTTTTGTTCACTTTGTCATCTCTAATTAACAAGCTAAATCATAGTTTGTAATTGTTCTGTGTTACGCAGGTTCAATTTATTTTCTCTTGAAGAGATTTTGGAATATGTAAAATATATTTTTCCTTATTTTCTTCAGCTTACACAAGGGCTAACTGAAATAGAAAATGTATTTTTGTCCCTCAGAATACTGAACAGTGACATGATTCTTAAAGGATGCCATAGAAGTCATCACCAGTAGACATCAATCTAGACCTTCTTTTCCTAAAATAAACATATTTGTAAAAATAATAATCAGACCTATGAAAAAGAAGAAGAAGAAATATTTTTAAAAGATGTGAAATGAGCAGATCATTCAAGGCAAATTACCATCACTGAAAAAGCTGAATGTAAGAAAGAAGAAATTTGTGATGAGTTTTAACTTGAGAGAATAAAGCTAACAAGAAGTAGAAAAGAAATAAATACATGTTATTAATAGGTAGATGATAGCTATGTGTATATCTATCATTTGGTGTATCTATATATATACCAAATAGATGATAGATATGTGTATATCTATTTGCTCTCTCTCTCTCTCTCTCTCTCTCTCTATATATATATATATATAATATATAATATATAATATGTATATGTATTCCAAATTATTCATGTTCATAGCTTTACTTCTGCTAGTTTAGAAAATAAAACAACTATTATATTTTGTTTTTTGTCACCTCTTACTTTTAGATAATTTCAACACCCATTGTAACTGAATTATTCCTGCCATGTTTAAATATATATTTGAAAAATAAATATAGTACAACAAAAAGTAAATATAAAATACGAATTGAACAGGGGAATACACAGTATGTAAGGAAAAAAAGATGAAACTACCAAAGATTATGCATGTTTCTTTTTAATAGTATATTTTTAAAAAATTAATGCAAAAACCAAAGTAAAAATCTTAAGTTTTATAAATTTCAATATAAGATTATGTACATTTTGCAATGAATTAAAAATAAAACTAAAGATGTAAATGGTCAAAAAGTAAAATCGTAAGAATGAAGCCTAACTTATACATAATTTAATTAATAGTTGCCAAATCCCACTTTTGCATTTATTGATAGACTGCCCTAACCAGAGGATGGAAAAGCTTTTCCTGAGCAACTTTGCCCATTTTTTCTCCATGACTACTGGCTTCACTTTCTGGATGAAACTTGCTTTTGATTCCGATCCTTGCCCACACTTGAAGCTGGTATCTGAAAACATGCCCTGTGCCTGAGCAGCTTTTTCAGTGCACCTCCTGTATGTTAATATATGTGAGCACTCGGGTGTTTTTATTGTTATTTAGTACAGGATTGTGGTGCATGTGTTGATTAAAGTAGACTTAAATCAATAAGCTTCTGATCTATTTTAATCAAGTTAACTGTATGTGTTAAACGGCTATAATCACACATTGTAGCACACAGTTCCTTTCTAGACACAATAATTCTCTTATTTACTGTATTTATTTTTGGCCCCAGACCCAGATCTCTTTCTTTTTCTCTCTTTACCTAATGTGGCTAGTATGGGCTTATTAGGCTTTTGCAAGAGCGTTATACTCTTGGCTTGAGTTATTTCTTCTAATTGAACAGATTGAATGGTACTACTTTACTCATATAATTCCAAACATGTGTTCCAATGTTTTGATCTTTCACACATTTCTAAGTTATCATTGACCTTTATAGCTCAAAGTCTTAACTCAGCTTATTTTTTTGCCTTTGGAAGTTGAGAAAAATTTGTGTTTTCCAACCTGCTAAGTCCCTAAATTTCTAGCCTCTCTGTTTCTTTTTTATTCTACTTCAAATTTACTAGGTTTAATTTTCCCACAACTATCTTTTCAAAAATAGTACCTAATCTGTTGAAACCATTGATAACCCATATACCCATACTAAGATGATGTTTTCTAGCATCTAACCATATAAATAAAAGTTCAATTGTATATTCTGCGTCCTACTTTATCATAGTGACAGTTTTGCCAAATGTTTTGTCACTATATATTACTCTTCTTATAGACTCCGGTACTAATATCTTCCAACCCATTAAATTAATTGACTCTTAAAACAACACAAAGTTTTTTGTGTTTTCACTTTCCCACAGTAGCACCTGCCCTACTTCAAGAATATCTCACCCCCTTTTTTTATATTATTCTTGCTGCAGTAACAAATAAACCCAAACCTTCATGGCTTAGTGTAGTGAATGTTTCATTCTTTGTCATACTCCCTGTCATGAAGGCTCTGCTCATTTGAGTTGATAAGTGAGTTAACAAGAGAGCTTCTGCTTTGACACATGTACCTATAATTTCCAAAGAAGAAAAAGGGAATTTGCTAATACATATATTGGCTCTCAAAGCTTAGGAGAGACAAACATTTTGCTTATGCTCCCATTTTACTAACCTAAAGAAATGTCACAATTTCACTAATACTGTTAAAGGCTGTAGAGAAGTAACAATTCTACTATGAGAGAGACACTATGCTAGTATCCGGGTATAGGGTAGTTAACCAAACAGAAAAAGTTAACATCTTTCTAATTTTATTTTTATTTGAATGAAGATAAATTGGGTTTGCTTTTGATTTTTAATCATATATAAATTAGGAGTGTTGAAAACTTTCTTATATTTTGCCCTTTATTTAAATCTTCTAGTTTTAAAAGCATATTTTTCTTAATTTAATAAGCCACAGTCAGAGAATGCTGTTCCTCATTATCTGACTTTAAAAGTATATTGGGAAGCATATTAGTTTTCCTCTGCTACATAACAAATTATGACAAGTTTAGCAGCTTAAAACAACACAATTTATTATCTCACAGCTTCAATGCATCAGGAGTCTAGGGTCCTCACCTCAGGGTCATAAAAGTCTGCAATAAAGGGTAGTCTGATCAGTAGTAGTATCACTCAAAGTGGGAAAATCTGCTTCCAACCTTCCTCAGCTTGTTAGAAGTAGTAGTATCAGAAACTCAAAGGGGGAAAATCTGCTTCCCATCTTCCTCAGCTTGTTAGAAGGATTTATCTACTATAGAAGTGAGAGAACTGGACCTGGCATTGGTGGCTCATGCCGGTAATCACAGCACTTTGGGAAGCCGAAGTGGGTGGATCTCCTGAGGTCAGGAGTTCAAGACCAGTCTGGCTAACATGGCGAAACTCCATCTCTACCAAAAATACAAAAATTAGCCAGGCGTGGTGGCATGTACCTTTAATCCCAGCTACTTGGGAAGCTGAGGCAGAAGAATTTCTCGAACCCAGGAGGTGGAGGTTGCAGTGAGCTGAGATCACGCCACTGCACTACAGCCTGGGTGACAGAGTGAGACTCTGTCTCAAAAATAAAATAAAATGAAATAAAAAAGAAGTGAGAGAACTGTTACTTGAATATCACCAGTTGCCACCATCAGCTCCTAGAGCTCCAGAGACTCCTAGACGTTTCATGCCATGTGGCCATTTCCACAGACCTTCTTATCAACATGGCATTTTAATCCATCAAAGCCAAAAAGGGGGACTCTGTCTTCTCAAGAAGTGTTTAGTTCCTCCTTCAATAATTTTGATTTAAGTTAGACCCTACCAGGATCACTTCCCTTTTGATTAACACAAAACCGATGATTTGAGACCTTAATTACACCTTCAAAACTCCATCATCTTTCCATGTACTATTGGTTATAGTAAGATCACTTGTCCTGCCCACACTCAAGGGGAAGGGATTAAACAGATGTGAATACCAGGAGGAGGCAATTATGGGCAGTCAACTTTGAGTGTGCTCACCTTAAAAAGATGGCCATTATATTCTTTCTGTCCAACTATATAATCTTATTTGGTTACAGTGGTGAAAAGTGTGGCATCTATTAGTTTCTAGATTTCTCTAATCATTTCTCAATATTGTGAAATTATTTTGTTAAAGATTGTCCAATAAATATCTTTAAATTTCTTCATTTATTTCTAAGAATTTCTCTCCTATATGCTACTTACTGTTTTGCATAATAAAATTATGTGTTTTTTTTTTTAATTTTCAATGAGTTGTATTTTTTTCAAGAAATAATTTTAACCTTGTGTTTATTTATATATTTTACAAGTTCATCTAGACGATCCAGCCACAGTCAAGTTTACGGGCTGGTGATGTGCTACAATATAGCACATTCCTTATTTTTTTTAATTAAAAAAATCTCTTTGATATATTTATTTTCTTTAACAAAAACTTTTAGGTTCAGGAGTACATGTCAAACTTGTAAAGTGTAAACAGGTAAATTGAATGTCATGCGGGCTGGGCGTACAAATTATTTCATCACACAGGTAATAAGCATAGTACCTGATAGGTAGTTTTTCCATCGTCTATTATCTTCCACCTTACCTTCAAGTATGCTCCAGTGTCTGTTATTCCCTTCTTTGTGTCCATATATACTCAATATTTCACTCTCATTGATATGGTTTGGCTGTGTCCTCACCTAAATCTCATCTTGAACTGTAGGTCCCGTAATCACCATGTGTCATGGCAAGGACCTGGTGGGAGGTTATTGACTCACGGAGGTTACCTTCATGCTGTACTCATGATAGTTACTGAGTTCTTACAATATCATATGGTTTCATAAGAGGCTTTTCTCCCACTTATTCTGCAGTTCTTGCTGCTGCCACGTGACGAAGAATAGGTTTGCTTTCCCTTCCACCAGGATTGTAAATTTCCTGAGGCCTCCCCAGCCATACTGAACTGTGAGACAATTAAACCTCTTTCCTTTATAAATTACCCAGTCTTGGGTATGTCTTTATTAGCAGCATGAAAAAGAACTAATACAATAAATTGGTACTGCAGAGCATGGGATGCTGCTGTAAAGTTATGTGAAACTGTGAAAGTGACATAGGAACTGGGTAACAGGCAGAGATTAGAACTGTTTGGAGGGCTCAGAAGAAGATAGGAAGATGTGAGAGAGTTTGGAACTTCCTAGAGACTTGTTGAATAGCTTTGGCTGAAATGCTGATAGTGATATGGACAATAAAGTCCAGGTTGAGGTAGTCTCAGATGGAAATGAGGAACTTGTTGGGAGCTGGAGTAAAGGTCGCTCTTGGTATTCAAAGAGACTGGCGGTATTTTGCCCCTGACCTAGAGATCTGTGGAACTTTGAACTTGAGATAGATAATTTAGCATATCTGGCAGAAGAAATTTCTAAGTGGCAAAGTGTTCAAGAGAAAGCAGAGCAAAAATATTTGAAAAATTTGAAACCTGATGATGCAGTAGAAAAGAAAAATCAATATTCTAGGGAGAAATTCAAGTCCCCTGCAAAAATTTGCATAAGTAACAAGTAGCCAAATGCTAATTGACAAGGCAATGAGAAAAATGTCTCCAGGGTATGTCAGAGACCTTCATGGCAGCCTCTCCCATCACAGACCCAGAGGCCTAGGAGGGAAAAATGGTTTCCTGGGCCAGGTCCAGGGCACCCCTGCTGTGTGCAGCCTTGGGACTTGGTGCCCTGTGTCCCAGCTATTTCAGCCATGGCTAAAAGAGGCCAAAGTACAGCTAAAGTGATTGCTTCAGAGGGTGCCAGCTCCAAGCTTTAGTAGCTTCCACATGGTGTTGAGTCTGTAGGTGCACAGAAGTCAAGAATTGAGGTTTGCAAACCTCTGCCTCGATTTTAGAGGATGCAATGAAATGCGTGGATGTCCAGGCAGAAATGTGCTTCAGGGACAGAGCCCTTACAGAGAACCTCTGCTAAGGCAGTGTGAAAGGGAAATGTGGAATTGAAGCCCTCACACAGAATCCCTACTAGGGCACTGCCTAATGGAGCTGTGAGAAGAGGGTTACTGTCCTGTGGACTCCAGCATGGTATTTCCACTGGCAGCTTGCACTGTGGGCCTGGAAAAGCTGCAATCAATGCCAGCCCATGTGAGAAATTATGTATTAATGTGTTTTGTGGCCTAACTCAATCTGTGTCTATTTTTTTCGAGAGTGAATTTTTATCATTTAAATTTTAATGAAAAAAATTTAAAAGTTTATATGTTATCTATTAAATACTTTTTTATTTCTGAATCGTTATAATATAATAATGAACATTGATATAGAATCATAATATTCTTAAAATCCCTAAACAAAATTAACCTGAAATTCATAATCAAATGCTCTTCCTTGAAATTACATGAAGAATATTTAGAATGAGTTAAATTGTTCTAATAAACCAAGCACACACACATATATATACAAGTATTATTCAATAAGTAATAACAAAAATATTATTTTTTAAACTCCATAATTTTCTTACAGAGTAAAAGTATGCATTTAAATTTTCCTTGTGCTTACTCATAGAAACTCATTTGCTAATATGAAGAATCCCCTAAGCCCTGGTCAGGTTTATTTCATATCATTAAACACTTGTGTTGATTTTATCTGACATTTAATTCTGTGCAAGCTCTAGCAGCTCTGTAACTCACATAAAAAGTGCAACTGCAAACATCCAAGTGGTGGAATTTGCAGTGATTCATAAGAGAAAATATTGTAAGCTACAGAAAATATAGGAATGTTGCCAAGACAATATAGCTGATGACTACTCTTATTTCCTCTCTCCTATCCACTGCCTACTATAAGAATTAATATCAGCATTCAGTTTTACAACCTTGGTAGGTTAATATTATTATGTAAAGTTCAAGAACTAGTAACAGCAGAGTAACTTTTACTAGCTTCTAGTAACTAGTAATCTGGCATAAATATTACACAGTACTGCTTGTGATATTATAGGGAGGTCTCTTACAAGATCAAATTCATGAGAAAAAACTACAAGAAACAATTTTGTAGTTAGCATTTGTTCATATTAAAAACACAATATGGCATATTTCATTACTATTTATAACTGCCTTACCTATGAGAAAGTTATATACTACAAATTTACATCACAGAACAGAGTTGTTTCTTAAATGCAATCTCCAACATCCTGATAACCAAGAAGCTAAGGACACACACATACACACACACACACAAACACATTTTTGTTTCTAATGCACAAGTTTTGGATGACAAGCTTACTATTTATTCAAAGCCACTTTTTACTTAATCCACTGTTATGATGGCTTAGGGACACTTAAAGCATCCATGTCCCATGAATTTGATGATAAGAACTGAAATAGATTGTATTAAGCCATTCTTGCATTGCTATAAAGAAATATGCCCAGACTGGGAAATTTTTAAGAATAGAGGTTTAATTGGCTCAGGGTTCTGCAGGCTGTACAGGAAGCATAGTGCCATCTGCTTCTGGGAAGGACTCAGGAAGCTTTCAATCACTGTGGAAGTCAAAGGGGAATAGGCACATCACATAGGGAGAATGGAGGCCAGCAAATGAGAGGGGTGGGGGGAGATGTCACAGACTTTCAAACAACCTTGTCTTATGATAAGTCAGTATCGCAAAGACAGCACCAAGCCATGAGGGATCCACTTCTATGATCCAAACACCTCTCACCAGGCCCCACTTCCAGGCATGGGGACTACAATCCAACATGAGATTTGGGTGGGGACAAATATCTAAACTATATCAACATGATATTATTAGTATCATGAAGGTGACAACTGGAATTAAGAAAAAAATAATCTAACCTGGAGTAAAACCAGAAAAATTATCATTTTTACTTAATAATTTAATATACTCCTAAAAAGGTGTTACCACTTTAATAACACTCTGTAAATGTTAGAATAAACAAATAGTTATGAATTTTATGAATTTTCATCATTTTTAAATATGACAGTATTATAAAAAGATAAATGAAAGTTCAGATTGAATCTCTAAACAATTTTAACACTGATACTGTTTTTTAATTTTCAATGAATTACATAAGAATAGTAGCTAGAAAAATAATTCTAATCGAAATCTTTATTAAATGTTAAATGAATGATTATTTACTTATAAAATTTAGTCATAAAAATAATAAATGTCAATTTAAATAACTATTAAAACAGTTATATTATTATGTTTTGTACTTGGTTGAATGACATGGATATTTACATTAAAAATATTTCAGTAAAAAATCAATAAGTGAACGACAACATTTGAGAGGCTTCCTACAAGGAAAGGGTCTATAACTTATAAACATCTACTAGTTTACATTTGCTTACAATTTATTTTACATGCTGTTACTATTTCCAGACAGTTTTATATGCTGTAAAATATGTTCACTTTAGTACAGGCAGAATATTGTCATATAAAAATATAAAATCTAAATCCGAGAAGAGATTTTTGAAATGACTTCAAAATTGAAATCATTTTTAAAATATTTTATTTACTATATGAAAACCGAGCCAATGTATAGAGTCCTATGACTTTTCAGAAAATAATGGATGATAAATACCTAAAGAACTGCCATGTTTACCAAACTATAGAATTGCTATGTATTTCAGATGACCACCTCCCTCTAAAAAGCATCTTAGTAAACTAAGTAATGAGAAAATGATTTCCCAGAAATAATTTTTAGATAGAAAATCAAATCATATATACATGTTTTATTATGGTAAGTAATTTCCTAAGCGTGAAACAAAATGGTACTCTCCTCAAAAATATATATTATTTCAACACATTTTACAGTAAAATGAACTTATATCCAGGTTAAAAAAGCTTGCTGTTTCACTTCTCATTACTAATAATTACAATAAGGCTTGAGAAAAATCAAGTAGAAACGTCAACATGAGGACTTCAAATGCTTTGCTGCTAAAGTTTGAAAATGTAACTGCAGAAATGAAACACCTTTTTTTTTTTTTTTTTCTTGAGACAGAGTCTCGCTCTGTCACCCAGTCTGGAGTGCAGTGGCATGATCTCGCCTCACTGCAACCTCTGCCTCCCAGGTTCATACAATTCTCCTGCCTCAGCCTGCCGAGTAGGTGGGATTACAGGCGCCTGCCATCATGCCCGGCTAATTTTTGTATTTTTAGTAGAGACGGGGTTTCCCCCTGTTGGCCAAGCTGGTCTCGGACTCCTGACCTCAAGTGATCCGCCCACCTGGCCTCCCAAAGTGTTGGGGTTACAGGCGTGAGCCATCACGCCCGGTGAAACACATTTTTAGTATATATTTCCTTGTGGTAATGCAATAAAACAAAATTTCATAAATAAGCTGAGATTGTACTGCTTGTCGTTCCTTGCATTTACCATATTGCATTTACTATTTGCCATGAAAATATGTGGGAAAGTATCTATCATAGCGCCTGACAAAGAGTAGCCACTCAAACCTAGGCTTTTATTTACCTTCCTTTTTCATTGATTTCATTAGTCACCTGATTATGGTCCCTCCTGTAGATCATGCTTTGCTAAAATGGACATGCTTCAATATTAACAACTAATGTTTTAATCAGCTTTATTTAGGTAATATTTATATAGAACAAAATTCACCACATTTTAGTGTACAATTTCATGATTTTAAAATATGTAAACGTTAACTCCAATTAAATTTAGAACATTTCCAACACCTTACCAATTTTCCTTGTGATCCTTTACAGATAAACTTCCTTTGACGCTGACCCTCAACAACATTCGATCTACTTATTCTTATCATTGTTTGGTCTGTATAGATTTTCATATAAACAGACTCATTTTTTTTGTAGTCTATTGTGATTAATTTCATTTACAAAATGCTTTTGAGTTTCATTCATCTTGGTGCATGTATTGTATTTTCTCCTTCTTCATTGCTGTGTAATATTCAACTCAAAGTAATTCAGTTTGCTTATACATTTACCAGTCAATGTGTATTACTTTTTGACCCTATTTTTTAGCTATTACGAATAATGCTCCTATGAACATGTACATGCGAGTCTTTTTATAGACATGTGTTTCCGCTATTCTTGGGCTAATTACTTAGATAGATTGCTGGATCATATGGTAAGTTTATACAAAATTTAGTTTTAGTCTGTAAGAAATTGCCAAACCGTTTTATAAGTGGTTACATCATTTTAACTTCCTCCAGCAATTTATGAGAATTCCAGTCATTCCACATGAACACAAAAATCTGTTGAAATCAACAGATTTTTTAACTTTGGCCATTCCAATGGAATCTTATTGCTGCTCAAATTAAGATTTTTAAATGATTAAGGATGTTGAGCATAGTTTTATGTGCTTATTTCCATTTATATATCTTCTTTGATGAAATGTCTTTTAAAATTTCTTGCCCAAGTATTTTATTTAACTCTTCATCTTATTGCATTGTGTTTATATATTTTTTAATTTTTAAAAATGTTTGTGGCTACATAGTAGGTGTATATATTTAGAGGGTACATGAGGTATTTTAATACAAGCATGTAATGTGATATAATCACCTTCATTCTATACAAATGTATTATATTTATTTATTATACACAAATATATTTTAGCAATTTGTAGCTTGATTTTACATTCTCTTGACACTGCCTTTTAATGACTAAAAGTTTTAAATTTTAATGAAGCCAAATTATCTTTTTTTCTTTTACCGAGTATGTGCATTTGTGTGTTTGTCTTATATACTGTATAAGACAATTTTTTTCTAACCCAAGACAAATTTTACATCACAGTTATTTTATTCTTATTTTGTTTAGTAAGCTTATAACTTCAGCTTTACTTTTAGATGTATATTGACCAGTCTTATTTCTATGCTCACACTGTAGCAGCAAGGGCACTTAGAAAAAAGCAAATATCTGGCTTCCAAATCCACCAAAAATCATACACTAAAAAATTCTCATAAACAGTTGTGGAATTCCAATATTGAACAACAAAAAATATAAATTACATCAATTTTAATTAATATTTTTGTATGTTAGTCAATAACCTATAATAAAGATGTAACATTTATTTGTTTAATAATCTTATTATAATAAGTAGGTACTTCACATTGTTTTAACATTGAAAATAATGACACATTTTTCTTATAATTTTCTTCATATAAACATGTATTAGTGCTTTTTTAAGGTAGCTAATAGGAAGTAGAATTACGATATCACAGGATGATATGGTTTGAAGCTATGTCCCCACCCAAATCTCATGTCAAATTATAATCCCCAGTATTGGAGGTGGGGCCTGGTGGGAGAAGAGATTGTATCGTGGGGGAAGTTTCTCATGAATGATTTAGCACCATCCCTCTAGATATAGTGCTCATGATTGTGAGTGAGTTCTCCTGAAATCTGGTCATTTAAAAGTGTGTAGCACCTGCCCTCCTGATTTCTCTTGCTCCCGCTGTCAACATAGGAGATGACTGTCTCCCTCTTTGCATTCCACTATGATTGAAAGCTTCCTGAGGCCTCCCCAGGAGCAGAAACCTCTGTGTTTCCTGTACAGTCTGCAGAGCCATCAATCAATTAAACCCCGTTTCTTTACAAATTACTCAGCTTCGGGTATTTATTTATAGCAATGTGAGAATGGACTAATACACAGGGTAAGAGTATTTTGTAGATATCCTAAAGTTTAATAAATACTGCAAAAATGCCTTTTAATGGACTTTAATAATTTATACTCTCAGCAATAAAAAATGAGAGTACTCTTTCTACATTGCCTTGCCAATATTAGATTGTTTCTAAAGATTGTATTTTGCCAGGCATACAAAAATATTATATTTCCTTTTATCATATGATTTTTATGATTTTTCTGTTTTCTATAAATTCAACATGTGTCGTATACTTATAGAAATTGGTTCACATATTGGCTAATTATCTCATTTAAATAATTATGAAAGTTCCTTAGGCTAACACACCCCAAAACATGCAAAACTCATGCACTTGCACTCAATAATATGTCTTATTTACTGCAAATATTTTTACTTGTGGTATCTTTGGGTTATAGATATTTTAAATTTGCTATTGTAAAGCTTTTAAAGTTATTTTTCTATATTTTAAGTATTATCTCTTGTATGCTATAGATATATATTCACTTCTATATTTCCTCTGGAATTTATATATTTTTAAATATTATTATTTAGATTTTTAAGCCAAATGGAAGATTTATCACTTAGAAAAAAATTTATTAGTTTTTCAAAATAATTTTTCATTCTTGCAGTCATTTATTTTTTTCTCTAATCTGAAATATCACCATTAAATTCAATGTAATTATATATTTCAGAACTCTGTTTAACTCATGTCAGCTGGCTAAGAAATAATCCATTTTGATTCATTGGTCTATTTTCTGGCAATATTAAAATGGCTTTTTTGTTAATAAACTAAATATAAAAATAGAGTAGATATAATAAAATGTATCTCATATATGTAACATATATGTTTATATGGGTGTGTATATTTAAATATATATGGGTGTGTGTGTGTGTGTATATATACGTATATCTCAGTACAGTAACTAAGTTCTATATGATACATTGGCTAGGTCTATGAATAGGTTTTCACTGCTCCAGTGATTTTCAGGTGGGTAGAGAAACAGATTTATGCATGGAAGTTGGAGTATGCGTTTGGGGGCAATTTGAGCAGGCAGATAACATAGGAAATCTTATTATCTTATTCTGAGAATAGACAACACAAACATTTATAGTTTAGAATTGAATTATAAAACTGATTAAATTACCTTAATTCAATATGCAGCCCTTTCAAAGGGAGAGGAAATTAGGCATTTATGTAGTAAATTTTATTAACCCCACCATAACACAAAATTAACTTTTTCTCAAACGTGATGGGTACAGTTAAAAGGGACACAGTTAATTGATTTAGGCATAATTAAGAGAATGTATGTGTTTGTAAAATGCTTCCGAGTCAATGGTGTAGAAGTAAAATAAGTTATTCAAGTGGATAACATGTATAAAATAAATTGCTTGTGAAGGCCATAGAGAAACCATCACTTAAATATTAGAAAAACTGATATTATCTCTCTCTCTTTTTGTCTGTGTGAGTATATTTGTAATTTTAATCATGATCTTTCATCAGAGGCATTTTGTTTTGTAGAAGTTCCTTGCAATCTTGGTTTAATATTGTTTATATATAACTTTGATGTTTCTGTCTCCATTACCTCACTGTGTCTTCTGTCTGCTTTTAGGACTATAGTTAAATGTGTGTCAGAATGTTTGAATGGTCTGAACCACATGTGTCATAAGCTCTTTTTTTCCTTTTCTCTGTTTGTGATCCAGCTTACATGCTTTTTTTTTTTTTTGAGAGGAAGTCTTGGTCTGTCGCCCAAGCTGGAGTGCAGTGGCGCGATCTGGGCTGACTGCAAGCTCCACCTCCAGGGTTCACGCCATTCCGCCATTCTCCTGCCTCAGTCTCCTGAGTAGCTGGGACTACAGGCGCTCGCCACCACTCACGGCTAATTTTTTTTTTTTTTTTTTTTTTTTGTATTTTTAGTAGAGACAGGGTTTCACCGTATCAGCCAGGATGGTTTCGATTTCCTGACCTCGTGATCTGCCTGCCTCGGCCTTCCAAAGTGCTGGGATTACAAGCGTAAGCCACCGCACCCGGCCCAGATGTTCTCTTTTGACACGTATTTTAGTTCGCCAGTGTTGTGCCCTCCCATATCTAATCTGCTCTTGCCAGTAGTCCTTGCCAGAAGTTCTTAATTCCATATTTTGCATTTTTAAACTTCTATTAATGTCAACTTTATACATTTTTATATTCTAGAACATTGTAGAAATTCTATTCTACTTTGTCTAGCTTGCCTACTTTTTCATCTATTTTCTTCATTTCTATTTTCATCATTTTTGTTTTCTTTCTCTTGAAGATATTTTTTATTTTAAACTTGCTTTTCAAAATAAAATATCACAATATGAAAATTTAAACGAGGCCACAAAAGAAAAAAAAATACATTGAATTTTCAGCTACCACTAGCATAAGAATTCTTCAGATTTTTTTTTAATTTAGAAAAATCTCTGACAACCAGAAATTTAACCAAATAGTTAAACAAATTCTCTCCAATTAGAGCAGCTGATTTCTCATTGGTTAATGTAAAAACAGAAGTTATTATATTTAGATGTAAGCAAAGCATGATTCTTTTTCATGAAATTTAATTCCATTTGGAATTTAAATAATTTGATCCTTTCTTCAATTTAGCCTATATATCTTAAACTGAATATCACTAACAGTTTCCATATGTGACACTTTATTCTCAAAATATAAATTTGCGTTCACTTCATCTAAAAATGGTAAATCAGGAAAAAAAGACACAGTGGGGCCTATGTGCATTTTACTTAGGTGCCAATCACTTTCACTGATTGAAGAAGATATGCAATTTTGACGGTCTACCTAGCACTAGGTAGTAAAAAGTCCAAAGCCTAATGTCTAGAGACTGCTTTGTATTTTTAAAATATCTCACCCAACTTGATTCTACTTCATGTAAAGTTGATTAGCACCATTTATATAACTAATAATAATTCAAAGGAATATATTATTTATACCAATTGGCCAATGAGCAGATATTAGTGTCTCAGAGTATGAAGCTACTTGAACTAATTTTAATTCTTTAATATTATGTATCTGTCATCAGTACTCAAAATATTCCACTCTTTGTGAATACTGCCTCTCCTTGCATTGCCACATTCTATGATTATTCTGAAATTCATTGTAGGTTATTTTCAAATTGTCATACTCTGTTCTTCATGTCTATTGTCCTCTTTTTCAAAAGTCAGTAGTTTTCACCTTTGTATAATATCTTCAGCGATATTCTCCAATACATACAATTTTCTCTTTAACTCTGTCTAGTGTGCTAATTTAACCTAACGACTACAGTTTATTTTAATGATAATATATTTTATATCTGCCAAAATTAGACTTTGTAATTATGTTCTACTTTTTCATTACAAAGTCTCTTCTCTGTTTAAAAATTTTTAATTATTTAAAATTATTTCACATTTAAAAAAAATATTATTATATTATCCTAATTTTGGTGTGTCGTAATCTTTTTTGATGTTTCACCTAATTCCTTTTCACGTTTGATCTCTCTTTTTGTCTGTGTGAGTATATTTGTAATTTTAATCATGATCTTTGATCAGAGGCATTTTGTTTTGTAGAAGTTCCTTGCAATCTTGGTTTAATATTGTTTATATATAACTTTGATGTTTCTGTCTCCATTACCTCAGAAATCTCACTGGACTTCTAATTTTTTAACATTATTTCTAAAATGGAATACCTTTTCAGTTAATAAATGTGTATTGTGGATTATTAGGTGGAGTTTTGTAGATTTTTTTCCCTACTCAGAGCTTGAAGCATAGGTAAAATTTTCTACTGATACCTTTTTTTTTAAGTCTTTTTTTTCCTTTTATTTCATGGACGATGTAGCCCCTTATTTGTCCCACTTTTATTCAGATGATGTCACTTCCAGCTCCTTGTCTTCAATATTAAATCTTCAATACAGTTTTTTCCACCTCGTTATAAAATCTTCAGTCAGTAACCTTTAGACTCTCTGTCCCGTACTGGCACCTATTTAGGTTACTATTACATCACCTATTTAGGTTACTATTACATACCTGTTAGCTGTACTAATCTGGCTTTTAGTTTTTAATATTTTTGGTTATTCTGCAATTTTAACTTTATTATTCAGTTGCTTGATTTTATTTTTTTATTATTATTATTATTTTTTTAGACTGAGTCTCGCTCTGTCACCCAGGCTGGAGTGCAGTAGTACAGTCTCATCTCACTGCAACCTCTGCCTCCTGGGTTCAGGTGATTCTCTTGCCTCAGCCTCCCTAGTAGCTAGGACTACAGGCACGTGCCACCACCTGGCTATTTTTTTGTATTTTTAGTAGAGATGGGGTTTCACCGTGTTAGCCAGGATGCTCTCAATCCCGACCTTGTGATTTGCCCACCTCGGCCTCCCAAAGTGCTGGGATTACAAGCATGAGCCACCGGGCCCGGTCCTGATTTGTTAATGTTATATTTTACTAGTCATTCTTGTTGAAAGATAAAGGAGGTTAAATCTACTTAGTCATTTTCTTGCTATTTCAGTTTAGTGACATTCAAGCCGTGACACTTGGTCTATGTAGTATTTTCTCTGCATTACTTTCTCCCATAATTAAGACTCTAAGCCCAGAAATTGAAAATTGTCAATATAATAAAGAAAATTCATCTTGCATCTGGTCATTGAACATTCTGCACTCTTTTATCTGCAAAAAAATCACATGTTGGTTATGTTCTTTCCTATCTTTATTGCACTCCGTTTGATAAGCAGCTTTTCAAAGTGCTCTCTAGTTTTCAGTCTTACATGTCTTGCTGATTCTTCCTCCATTGGTTTTCTATTCATTGGATTTATTATCTTATTAGGAGTCCTGGAAATAGGTGCAATTTTACATTTCTTCATGCAGTACCTGAATATTCTGTAAGGTAGTCAAAGATGTTACTCTAAACAATACAAGCTCTTTCACAAATTCACTCTCTTGTTTAATAGTGTTTCAAGAACATTAGTTTGTGAATGAATATAGGGGTTCCACTTTGAAGAATTAGAGGGAGCAAGGGACCCTTTTGCATTAGATCCTCCAATTTATCAAACATCGTATTGTATCAAGCATTGTATTGTATCAAGCACTGTATGGTTGCCCAGAATTTCTCCTCTTAAGCCATATGAATTTATGGATGGCTCATTGTTTAACATTATTGAAGTGAGTCTGTGTAGTAAATCACAGGAATACTTTGTTTAATTCTTAAGAAATCCTTGCCACATTTGAAACAAACCATTCTTGCTTATAGCGTATTTCTTATTAAAATCTGCTGTATTTGATAAATCATATATTTTTTCATGTATATCTGAAGCTGAGAGTTTATAGTTTGTTCGGAGAAAGGGAAAAACAACATATTTTGTTGTTTATCCACCATATTTTGTATTATGACCACACTAGGACAAGAGAATGATTTGTGGGCTTTCTATCATTTTATTTGCTCTGAAACAGGTTAAATAATATTTAAGCTATCTATCAACAAATTTTCAGAGGCTTATCTAGTCCATGCAATTTTTTTTTTTTTTTTTGAGGTGTAGTCTCGCTCTGTAAAATAGTGTGTTCTTGGCTGGCTGCAACCTCCACCTCCTGGGTTCAAGTGATTCTTGTGCCTCAGCCTCCCGAGTAGCTCGGATTACAGGCACCCACAACCACATCTGGCTAATTTTTGTATTTTTAGTAGAGATGGGGTTTCACCGTGTTGTCCACGCTGGTCTCTAACTCCTGACCTCAGGTGATCTGTCCACCTCAGCCTCCCAAAGTGCTGGGATTACAGGCACGAGCCACTGCGCCAGGCTTAGTTCATGTAATATTTTATAAATAAATTTGTGTTTATTTTAAAATTTATGTAAGATAACTGATGGAGATATGTATGGCAAAAGGAAAAAGATATTTATCTGTGATTGATAGTATTATGAATGGTATTAATTTTCTCCCATATGCAATTTTAAATTTTCTAAATAACACATAAATAAATTGCTTATTTTTCTCTTGAATTAGTAAGAGATAATTGGAACTTCAATTGTGAAAGCCAGTATTTAAATAAAAAGTAAAAAGATGAGGGACTAGAAGAAACCTCAGTTTTATTTCTACAATAAATTGCCACCTGATATATTTGAATTCTTACTCAAACTAACCTTGATGCAAAATTAGCTGATCATCAATAGGCAGCTTTCTATACTTTGCTCATAAAGCTTAACACATAACCAAACAATTTAGAGTTCAGAAAGAAGCCAATTAGTTTCAAACAATTTCATGGACAGACTGCCTTCTCAAGTGGGTCCCTGACCCGTGAGTAGCCTAAATGGGAGGCAACCCCCAGAAGGGGCAGACTGACAGCTCACATGGCCGGGTACCCCTTTGAGACGAAGCTTCCAGAGGAATGATCAGGCAGCAACATTTGCTGTTTAGCACTATTCACTGTTCTTCAGTCTCCGCTGCTGATACCCAGGCAAACAGGGTCTGGAGTGGACCTCCAGCAAACTCCAACAGACCTGCAGCTGAGGGTCCTGACTGTTAGAAGGAAAACTAATAAACTGAAAAGACATCCACACCAAAACCCCATCTGTACATCACCATCGTCAAAGACCAAAGGTAGATAAAACCACAAAGATGGGGAAAAAACAGAGCAGAAAAGCTGAAAATTCTAAAAATCTGAGCGCTTCTCCCCCTCCAAAGGAACGCAGCTCCTTGCCAGCAATGGAACAAAGCTGGATGGAGAATGATTTTGATGAGTTGAGAGAAGAGGCTTCAGACAATCAAACTTCTTCGAGCTAAAGGAGGAAGTTCAATCCCATTGCAAAGAAACTAAAAACCTTGAAAAAGATTAGACAAATGGCTAACTAGAACAACGAGTTTAGAGAAGTCCTTAAATGACCTGATGGAGCTAAAAACCATGGCACGAGAACTACGTGACAAATGCACAAGCTTCAGTAGCTGATTCGATCAACTGGAAGAAAGGGTATCAGTGATTGAAGATCAAATGAATGAAATGAAGCTAGAAGAGAAGTTTAGAGAAAAAAGAGTAAAAGGAAATGAACAAAGCCTTGAAGAAATATGGGAGTATGTGAAAAGACCAAATCTACATCTGATTGGTATACCTGAAAGTGATGGGGAGAATGGAACCAAATTGGAAAACAATCTACAGGATATTATCCAGGAGAACTTCCCCAGCCTAGCAAGGCAGGCCAACATTCAAATTTGGGAAATGTAGAGAACACCACAAAGATACTCCTTGAGAAGAGCAACTCCAAGACACATAATTGACAGATTCACCAAAGTTGAAATGAAGGAAAAAATGTTAAGGGCAGCCAGAGAGAAAGGTCGGGTTACCCACAAAGGGAAGCCAATCAGACTAACAGCTGATCTCTCGGCAGAAACTCTACAAGCCAGAAGAGAGTGGGGGGTCAATATTCAACATTCTTAAAGAAAAGAATTTTCAATCCAGAATTTCATATCCAGCCAAACTAAGCTTTATAAGTGAAGGAGAAATAAAATACTTTACAGACAAGCAAATGCTGAGAGATTTTGTCACCATCAGGCCTGCCCTAAAAGAGCTCCTGAAGGAAGCACTAAACATGGAAAGGAACAACCGGTACCAGCCACTGCAAAAACATGCCAAATTGTAAAGGTTATCAATGATAGGAAGAAACTGCATCAACTAATGAGCAAAATAACCAGCTAACATCATAATGACAGGATCAAATTCACACATAACAATATTAACCTTAAATGTAAATGGGCTAAATGCTCCAATTAAAAGACACAGACTGGCAAATTGGATAAAGGGACAAGACCCATCAGTGTGCTGTATTCAGGAGACCCATCTCACATGCAGAGACACACATAGCCTCAAAATAAAGACATGGAGGAAGATCTACGAAGCAAATGGAAAACAAAATAAAGGCAGGGGTTGCAATCCTAGTCTCTGATAAAACTGACTTTAAACCAACAAAGATCAAAAGAGACAAAGAAGGCCATTACATAATGGTAAAGGGATCAATTCAACAAGAAGAGCTAACAATCCTAAATATATGCACCCAATACAGGAGCACCCAGATTCATAAATCAAGTCCTTAGAGACCTACAAAGAGACTTGGACTCTCACACAATAATAATGGCAGACTTTAACACCTCTCTGTCAACATTAGACAGATCAACAGGACAGAAAGTTAACAAGGATATCCAGGAATTGAACTCAGCTCTGCACCAAGCAGACCTAATAGACATCTACAGAACTCTCCACCACCAAATCAACAGAATATACATACTTCTCAGCACCACATTGTACTTATTCCAAAATTGACCACATAGTTGGAAGTAAAGCACTCCTCAGCAAATGTAAAAGAACAGAAATTATAACAAACTGTCTCTCAGACCACAGTGCAATCACACTAGAACTCAGGATTAAGAAACTCACTCAAAACCGCTCAACTACGTGGAAACTGAACAACCTGCTCCTGAGTGACTACTGGGTACATAACGAAATGAAGGCAGAAATAAAGATGTTCTTTGAAACCAATGAGAACAAAGACACAACATACCAGAATCTCTGGGACACATTTAAAGCAGTGGGCAGAGGGAAATTTATATCACTAAATGCCCACAAGAGAAAGCAAGAAAGATCTAAAATTGACACCCTAACATCACAATTAAAATAACTAGAGAGCAAGAGCAAACAGATTCAAAAGCTAGCAGAAGGCAAGAAATAACTAAGATCAGAGTGGAACTGAAGGAGATAGACACACAAAAACCCTTCAAAAAATCAATGAATCCAGAATCTTTTTTTTTTAAAAAGATCAACAAAACTCATAGACCACTAGCAAGACTAATAAAGAAGAAAGAGAGAAGAATCAAATAGACGCAATAAAAAATGATAAAGGGGATATCACCACCGATCCCATAGAAATACAAACTGCCATCAGAGAATACTATAAACACCTCTACACAAATAAGAAAATCCAAAAGAAATGGATAAATTCCTGGACACATACACCCTCCCAAGACTAAACCAGGAAGAAGTTGAATCCCTGAATAGACCAATAACAGGCTCTGAAATTGAGGCAATAATTAATAGCCTACCAATCAAAAAAAGTCCAGGACCAGATAGATTCACAGCCGAATTTGACCAGAGGTATAAGGAGGAGCTGGTAACATTCCTTCTGAAACTATTCCAATCAATAGAAAAAGAGGGACTCTTCCTTAACTCATTTTATGAGGCCAGCATCATCCTGATATGAAAGCCTAGCAGAGAAACAACAAAAAAAGAGAATTTTAGAACAATGTCCCTGATGAACATTGATGCAAAAATCCTCAATAAAATACTGGCAAACCAAATCCAGCAGCACATCAAAAAGGTTATCCACCATGATCAAGTGAGCTTCATCCCTGGGATGCAAGGCTGGTTCAACATACTCAAATCAATAAACATAATCCAGCATATAAACAGAACCAATGACAAAAACCACAGGATTATCTCAGTTGATGCAGAAAAGGCCTTCGACAAAATTCAACAGCCCTTCATGCTAAAAACTCTCAATAAATTAGGTATTGATGTGACGTATCTCAAAATAATAGGAGCTATTTATGAAAAACCCACAGCCAATATCATACTGAATGGGCAAAAACTGGAAGCATTGCCTTTGAAAACTGGCACAAGACAGGGATGCCCTCTCTCACCACTCCTATTCAACATAGTGTTGGAAGTTCTGGCCAAGGTAATCAGGCAGGAGAAAGAAATAAAGTGTATTCAATTACGAAAAGAGGAAGTCAAATTGTCCCTGTTTGCAGGTGACATGATTGTATATTTAGAAAACCCCATCGTCTCAGCCCAAAATCTCCTAAAGCTGATAAGCAACTTCAGCAAAGTCTCAGGATACAAAATCAATGTACAAAAATCGCAAGCATTCTTATACACCAATAACAGACAAACAGAGAACCAAATCATGAGTGAACTCCCATTCACAATTGCTTCAAAGAGAATAAAATACCTAGGAATCCAACTTACAAGGGATGTGAAGGACCTCTTCAAGGAGAACTACAAACAGCAAAATAAAAGAGGACACAAACAAATGGAAGAACATTCCATGCTCATGGATAGGAAGAATCAATATTGTGAAAATGCTCATACTGCCCAAGGTAATTTATAGATTCAGTGCCATCCCCATCAAGCTACCAATGACTTTCTTCACAGAATTGGAAAAAACTACTTTAAAGTTCATATGGAACCAAAAAAGAGCCTGCATTGCCAAGACAATCCTAAGCCAAAAGAACATAGCTGGAGGCATCACGCTAACTGACTTCAAACTATACTACAAGGCTATAGTAACCAAAACAGCATGGTCCTGGTACCAAAACAGAGATATAGACCAATGGAACAGAACAGAGCCCTCAGAAATAATATCACACATCTACAACCATCTGATCTTCGACAAACCTGACAAAAACAAGAAATTGGGAAAGGATTCCCTATTTAATAAATGGTGTTGGGAAAACTGGCTAGTCATATGTAGAAAGCTGAAACTGGATCCCTTCCTTACACCTTATACAAAAATTAATTCAAGATGGATTAAAGACTTAAATGTTAGAGCTAAAACCGTAAAATCCCTAGAAGAAAACCTAGGCAATACCATTCAGGACATAGGCATGGGCAAGGACTTCATGTCTAAAACACCAAAAGCAATGGCAACACAAGCCAAAATTGAGAAATGGGATCTAATTAAACTAAAGGGCTTCTGCACCACAAAAGAAACTACCATCAGAGTGAACAGGTAACTTACAGAATGGGAGAAAATTTTTGCAATCTATTCATCTGACAAAGGGCTAATATCCAGAATCTACAAAGAACACAAAGAAATTTATAAGAAAATAACAAACAACCTCATCAAAAAGTGGACAAAGGATATGAACAGATACTTCTCAAAAGAAGACATTTATGCAGCCAACAGATGAAAAAATGCTCATCATCACTGGCCATCAGAGAAATGTAAATCAAAACCACAATGAGATACCATCTCACACCAGTTAGAATGGCGATCATTAAAAAGTCAGGAACCAAAAGGTGCTGGAGAGGATGTGGAGAAATAGGAACACTTTTACACTGTTGGTGGGACTGTAAAGTAGTTCAACCATTGTGGAAGACAGTGTGGCAATTCCTCAAGGATCTAGAACTAGAAATACCATTTGAGCCAGTCATCCCATTACTGGGTATATACCCAAAGGATTATAAATCATGCTGCTATAAAGACACATGCACACGTATGTTTATTGCGGCACTATTCACAATAGCAAAGACTTGTAACCAACCCAAATGCCTATCAATGCTAGACTGGATTAAGAAAATGTGGCACATATACACCATGGAATACTATGCAGCCATAAAAAACGATGAGTTCATGTCCTTTGCAGGGACATGGATGAAGCTGGAAACCATCATTCTCAGCAAACTATCACGAGGACAAAAAAACCAAACACCGCATGTTCTCACTTATAGGTGGGGATTGAACAATGAGAACACTTGGACATAGGAAGGGGAACATCACACACTGGGGCCTGTTGTGGGTGGGGGCAGGGGGGAGGAATAGCATTAGGAGATATACCTAATATAAATGAGGAGTTAATGGGTGCAGCACACCAACATGGCACATGTATACATATGTAACAAACCTGCACGTTGTGTACATGTACCCTAGAACTTAAAATATAATAATAAAAAAAGTTTTTCTATAATGTGTTTCACCATAAGAAAATAAATGATACAGTATATAAGAGTTCAAAGTATAAAAATCACCAAGTAGTAAGTTTTAGCATGATTAGCAGGCTTATTAAAGTTAAACGTCACTGGGATTTCTTATTATTCTATATTATTTGGAATATTTCTGTGTTAGAAATTAACTGAGTTAGAGTTTCCATGTTAATTAGTGAATAACTATTAAGGATCATCAAATAAAATAAATACAAAACACATCTGATCTTTATTAGTACCATACAAAATTGTACATAGTTTGAACATTAGTCAGTTTAAAATAAAGATGTATTTAATGTTAGTATAGTCATGTTGCAAATAATTGAAATGAAGTTTTCTGTGAATTACAAGATGAATATTTTTCATAACAATCTTATCTAACTAATGTTAAGTTAAATAACTATTCTTGGCTGGGCGCAGTGGCTCATACCTGTAATCCCAGCACTTTGGGAGGCCAAGGCAGGCAGATCACGAGGTCAAGAGATCAAGACCATCCTGGCCAACAGGGTGAAACCCCGTCTCTAATAAAAATACAAAAATTATCTGGGCGTGGTGGTGCATGCCTGTAGTCCCAGCTCCTCGGGACACTGAGGCAGGAGAATCACTTGAACCTGGAAGGCGGAGGTTTCTGTGAGCCAAGATCATGCCATTGCACTCCAGCCTGGGCAACAGAGTGAGACTCCATCTCAAAAAAACAAAACAAAACTATTCTTTATACAGTAACAATAGCAGTTGGCCAAATCATTCAGTTTTAGGGAAATGACATAAAAATCATAGTTACTGCTCTTCTCAAAGAAAACATTTTGCCTTTAAAAAGTAACGTCTTATAATCGTTTTAAATTTATTGGAAAATTGATGTAGTACAGAGAGTTCACATATGAACCCACACTCTATTTTCATGATTGTTGACAGTTTATTTTAGGATGGAATTTTTCTAGGATATATTAATACATCAATATTTATGCATTATCATTCAGCAAATTCTGTATGCTATTCAGATTTCTTCAGTTTTTGCCTAATACTCATTTTCTCTTCTAGGATCTCATTCAGGGTATCTGGTTAAATTTTTTTAGTTGTCATGTCTGATTCAGGCCCTTCTCACTGTTCTGGCTTCTTAGATTTTCCTTATTTTTGATGACTTTGATTTTTGGAGCAATAAATACTGGTTAGGTGTTTTGTAAACTATTTCTCAAATTGGATTTTCCTATTTTTTTTAATTAGACTATGGGTGTAGTTTTCCAGAGAAATAGAACCAATATGGTATGTATATATCTGTGTGTGTGTGTGTGTGTGTGTGTGTGTGTGTGTGTGTATAGATTTATTTTATAAAATTGACTCATGCAATTATGGAGACTGGTAAATCCAAAATCTGCTGAGCTTATGCCCCAGTTAATTTCAAAGCTGAAATCTGCTGTAGAAACAGGAAAAGCTTATGCTCCAGTTCAAAGGTCAGTAGGGTGAAAAAGTATCTTACTTGAGAAGGAGTTAAACTTTTGTTCAATTCAGGCCTTCAACTGACTGGATGAAGCTCACTGCCATTATGGAAGGGGGTGGAAATTTTTATTTTATGGATTTTTATATAAACATAAATTTTCAACTCATATGATTAAATACCCAAAAGTACGACTGCTGAATCATGTGGTATAACTGTTGGACTTTGTGAAAAGCTGACAAACTGGCTTCCAAAGTGTGATACTATTTGTTTTAACCAGTCTACCCACTTAAATGTTAATCTCATTCAAAAACACCCTCACAGAATAATGTTTGAACAAATATCTGGACACTCTACAACCCAGTCAAGTGAGTATATAAAATTAACTGTCACAAAATTTTAGGGAAAACAGACCATAGAAGCGCCATTACTATTACATCATAACAACAGCATCTTCTGTCAACATGACATTACTTTTTATTTTAACCTTGATCATCTGGCTGAGGTAGAGTTTGTCAGGTTTTTCATTGTAAAAAATACTTTTTCCCTCATTCCATACTGCATTCATTTGAGGTAAGACACACAGTGAAGGCCACACTTAATTAGTGGGGAGTAATGCTCTATTTCTTTGAGAGTAAAGTATCTACATAAAATAATTGAAATCCTAAATAGGGAATTTTTGCTGTTCTTCCCCATTTATTTCTTAATTTATTTTTGTTGTTTAATTATTTATTTATTTTAGTATGGACTCATGGACATTATATGCTTTGGGTTATAATTCAATACTATATTTTGTTGTTCAAAATTTTCCATTTTGGTTGCTTGAAGCTCTTTCAGTTAGCTTTTGTGTCTTTTTTACACATTATTTTAATGTTTTAGAGGACTTTCTTATTTCCTGGAGCCACAAGATGCTTTAACCTTATTTTTGTATATTTTGTTTCCCAGTCCTAGAATTAGCTCTCCCTAAAGAGCCCTAGTTCATTTTATTGGAAAACAGTATTAGAAATCACGATTTACATGTTAGGTGTGTGCGTTGCTACAAGAATATTATTCTTCTAGCCCTCTTCTTGTTAATGGAGGAAAGTAATATGTTTTAAAAGTTAGTATAAATGCGTTTACACTAACTTGTGTGTATATGCATACATGTAAATATTTCTATATGCACTCATCTTTATCTATATTAAGCTTAACATAGGTTCTTACTGATGTATCAAAATCGAATATAACACATATTCTAGCTTTCTAATTAGCAGTAAATTTCTACACCAATGGTGAGAAACATGTCTGCTAACATCTACCATCAATTCAATTAATTGTTTAATTCCATCATACACGTATAATGGTTCCAATATTTTTAACCAGTATTCTGCTGATAATCATTATCAAATAGGGCACTGTGCTTAAGCACATTTCATTCAGACTTTTTATTCATTGCACCATTTCCAAAGTTAGTTAAGCCAGCACACTATCACGTCAGTGAGATTTTTAAATATATTTATAATACAGTTAGTTTTTTTTTGTTGTTGTTTATTTGTTTGCTTACCATTCTAAATCACAACCTGTGATATTCCAATCTCCTGTGTTTATAAAAAAAATTTCACTCTTTATGTTATAAAGCTCTATGAGTTTTGACAAATGAATAGTGGTATCTATTCACCATTACAGTCTCACACAGAATAGTTACACTGCTCTAAACGATACCCTGGATTTTACCTATTCAACTATTCCCCACCATTTACCTCTGGCAATCACTGATTTGTTCATCCTCGCTATTGTTTTGCCTTTTCCAGAATGTGATATAAATAGAATACTACAGTATGCAGCCTTTTCAAACTGTTTTTTTTAGTTAGCGATATTCAAATAAAATTATATTTTTTCAGGGCTTGAGAGCTATTTTTAATTATGATTACTAAACAGTACAACATTGCATGGACATACCACCGTTTGCTTTTGCACTCAACTTCATTGAATAATATCTTGGCTTCTTCTATAATTTGATATTTATGTAAAATGTGTCTAATATTTGTGTCATGATTTTATATAAACATAAATTTTAAACTCAGTTGATTAAATACCCAAGAGTTCAGTTGCTGAGTCATAAACTGGCTTGCAAAGGACCATAATATTACCAGCAACGAATGAGAGTTCCTGTTGCTCTGAGTCCTTGCCAAGAGCTGGTATTGTGGTATTACCAGTATTTTGGATTTTAACTATTCTAATATGCGTGAAGCAATAGCTCGTTGTTATTTTAATTTGTAATTCTCTAAGGACAAATTCTCTAAGGACAAAAGAATATTTTCATATGCTTATTTGCCATTGCATATTTTCCTTTGTAAGGAATCCCTTCAGATGTTTCGCTAAATTTTTAATTAATTTGTTTTCATACTGTTAGGTTAGGAATGTTTTTGGATTTTGGATTCAAGTTATTTAGCAGATAAGTATTTTTAAAATATTTTCTTCCAGTCTGTGGTTTGTCTTTTCATGCTCTTGACTTCTTTTTTTTTTTTTTTTTTTTTTTTTTTTTTTTTTTTTTTTTTTTTTTTGAGATGGAGTCTCGTTATTGTCGCCCAGGCTGGAGTGCCATGGCACAATCTTGGCTCACTGCAACTTCTCCCTCCCAGGTTCCAGCAATTCTCCTGCCTCAGCCTCCTGAGTAGCTGAGATTACAGGCGCGCACCAACATGCCTGGCTAATTTTTGTATTTTTAGTAGAGACGGGGTTTCACCATGTTGGCCAGGCTGGACTTGAACTCCTGACCTCAGGTTATCCACCCGCCTCAGCCTCCCAAAGTTCTGGGGTTACAGGCATGAGCCACTGCGCCCAGTTGACTGCATCTTTTACATACTTTAATTTTTAAATTTTACTAAAGTGCAAACTATCATTTTTTAAGTCATGCTGTTAGTATTATATTAAAAAAGTATTTACTCAACCATTGGTCACATGGATTTTCTCCTCCTTTTTGTAAAATGCATTATTGTTTTGCATTTTATATTTGGCTTTGAACCAATCTTCTGTTATTTTTTGTATAAGGTATCTCAACTCTGTAATGTTTAACTAATTAATGTGTGTATTTTTTTGTGAATATCTTTCTGTCTTGAAAACTGTAGATTTACATTAAGTATCAAAATAGGGTAATTTGAGTCTTCTTTTTATATTCACAAGAATGGCGTTGATTATTGTACATCTTTTGCTTATCCATAGAAACTTTAGAATCAATTCATCAATATCTATACTTGTCTATTAGGATTTTGATTGGAAAACATTCAATTAGAAGTCAAGTTGGGAAAAAATGTTATTACAATATTGAGACTTCTAATTCATGAGCATGATATAACTCTCCTAATTGCAATAATTTTTAATTTCTTTCATAGGCATTCATAGTTGTTTCTGTATAGATCCTATACTTATTTTTGGTAGATTTATTCCTATTTCTTTTTGTTAAATGCAATTGAAAATTGTAGTTTTAAAATTACAAATTCTTTTGTGTTTATTGCTAGTATATAGGAAAACAATTGAACTTTGTATATTGACCTTGTTTCCCTCAGTCATACTATGCTTTCTTATTTTTTTCCACGTGGGTGCTTTTCTAAATTATTTGGAATTTTCTGCATAGACACTCATCCCATTTGTGAACCGGGAGGCTTAAAAAATTTTTAAATAAACTGTATTTTTTAAAAAGCAGTTTTAGACTCATAGCAAAATTGAGCAAAAAGTGGAATTCTCATAAATCCCTTATCTCCACACATGAAGTCCCCCCCATTGTCAACATCCTACACCAGAGTGGTACATTTGTTGTAACTGATAGACATCATTATTACTTAAAGTCCATAATTTACATAATTACCTAATTTACATTAAAGTTTGCTGTTGTATTTATTTATTTTTATTTATTTTTTTTTTTTGTAATTTACAAATGTATAATGACACATACACACCATTATAGCATGATGCTGAGTGGTTAAACTGCCCTAAAAATCCTCTGTGCTTCTCCTATTCATCCTTCCTTCACCTCACCCCCTGGCAACCACTAATCTTTTTACTGTCTCCAGAGTTTTTTTTTTTTTCTTTTTCATAATGTCATACAGTTGCAACCATACAATATTTGACCTCTTCTATTGACTTTTTGTACTGACTAATGTGCATTTGAAGCTTGAAAGCTCATTTCTGTTTAGCACTGAATCATATTTCAATGTATGGCTGTATCACAGTTTCTGTATAATTCACCTACTGAAAGATATCTTGCTTGCTACCAAGTTTTTGCAATTATGAATAAAGCTGATATAAATATACGTGTGCAGGTGTTTGTGTGAACAAGTTTTCAACTTATTTGTGTAAATACCAAGGAACATGATTAGTAATTGTATTATAAGACAATGTTTAGTTTTTTAAGAAAATGCCAAACTGTTTTCCAAATCATTTGTACCATTTTGCCTTCCCATCAGTGATGAATGATGGTATTTCTTGCTTCACATCCTCACCAGCGTTTGGTACTAACTTGTATATTTTAGCCACTCTAACAGAGTGAACAGAGAGTTTTATTTCTTTTTTTTTTCAATCTATGTACATTTTATTTGTTGCCTTTTTTCCCCCCAGACACCTAAGATTGCTGGTACGGTTTAACAACAGTGTTAATAAGCATAGAGGACATCCTTGTCTTTTTCCCATTCTTAGGACGAACACGACCAAGCTTTCACTATCAAGTGTATGAGCTGTACGTTTGACATAGATCATTGTTAATAAGTTGGGTAAGGTCCTCCCTATTCCTAGTTTTCTATTTTTCTATTATGCATCATTATTAGGTCTTTAGAAAATATTTTCTCTGCATTAATGCATAGGATTCTACAGTTTTTCTTATTCAGTCTGTCGATATAGTGGGATGCACTGATTGGGTTTCAAATACTGCAGCAAACGATGTCTTTCAAATATATCTCATTTAGTGGTGGTGTATATTCTAATACATTGTTGGGTTTACATAGCTATTATATTAAGATTGTTTGCATCCATATTCATAAGAGACATTGCTGTTTGTTTTTTTTTTTTTTTACATATTTTTATATTTTGGTATTAGGGCAATGCAGACCTTGTAGAAGGAGATAGGAAGTGGTCACTGTTGCAATTTTTTTTTGACAGATTGCTGAGAATGGCATCACTTTTTACCCTGACATATTTGTTAGTATTCACTGGTGAGCCCATCTATGCCTACTATTTTATTTTTAGAAGATTATTAACCATTGATCTAATTTCTTTATGAGATAAATAGCTATTTAAGTACATTTATCATACTTTGAGTAGGATGTGTCATTGATGGAATTAATCTATTTCATCTAAGTTGAAATTAGCCCACATTTGTTAGTAATCTTTAATTATTATTTTTATAAAGTTCATGAGATTGCTAGCAATGACCCTCATGTTATTTCTGATGTTAGTAATGTGTGTCTTCTCTCTTTTATTTTTAGTTATTCTGGTTAGAAGTTCATCACTTTTACTGATCATTTTTGCAGAATATGCTTTGGATTTTGTTAATTTTCTCTATTGTTTTCTTATTTTCAGCTTCATTGATTTCTGCTCTATTACTTTTTCCAGGTGAAATACTTTAGGTTTAAATTTTTATTTGTTCTTTTCCTAATGTAGAGCTAGGTTGTTGCTTTCTTTTTCTTTCTTATTTTTGTAACCCATACATTTAACATTATTGATTTTCTTTATCAGTGCTTATGTTGCATCCCATGAATAAGAGGTATTTTCAATTATATATATGTATAAAATATATAATTTGTATTGAGAAATTATATATAACCTTATATATACAATATATATTATATTATATGTAATTTTTATTGAGAATTCCTTGACCCGCATGTTATTTAAAAGTGTGTTGCTTAATTTCCAAATATTTGGATATTTTTCAATTTTCTTTCTTTTATTGATTTCTAGTTTAACTTCATTTGGGTATTAAAAAAACAACATGTGAATTCTATTTAAATTTGATGAGGTGTATTTTGTGACCCACAATATGACCTATGAAGGTGAATGTTCCATATGAGCTCAGAAAAAATATATATTTCACTGATGTTGTATTGAGTATTCTATAATTATCAATTGAATCAAATTGATTCATAATGCTATTCAGGTCAATTGTAAACTTTCTGATTTTCTGAAAGTTTAATATATCAGTTACAGAGGATTGTGAAAATCTTCACCTATAGCATTGGATTCTTAATTTATCCTTTCCATTCTGTCAATTTTGCCTCATGTATTTTGGCACTGTGTTGCTGGATGCATATGTGTTTAGATTTATGTCTCTGGTGAATTAACTCCTTTATCATTATTAGTATGTAGTGTCCCTCTCCATTACTGATAATCCTTCTTTTTGTAAAGTCTGCTTTGTCTGGAATTAATACAGCTACATAGCTTTCTTTTAACTGGTCTTATTATCATATGTCTTTTTTTGTATCTTTTGTTCAAAGTGTCTAAGCTTTCTATTTAAAGTCAGTTTTTTGTAGACAACATATTATTTGGTCTTGTTTATTTATTCTATTATTTGTATATTTTGAATATTCCCATTCAAATGAATTATTAATTAGGTGGTTTTAATATCTACCATTTTTGTAAGTATTACTACTTTCTTGTTTTGTTTTTGTTCTTTCTCTCCTGCTTGTATGGTTCTATTTGAACTTTTTTATGATAAAATTTTATCTCAATGTCCTTATGTTCTTAATGTCCAATGTTCTTAATGTCCATTATACTTATTTTATTGTTTTTAGTATATTTTTGACTAACCCAAGTCAATATTCAAATAAATCTTTATCAGTTTAAATGTAGTACAGATAATTCATAATTAATATTGCCAATTTTAGTTTTCCTTTTGTAACGTTTTGTTATAACTTCAAATATATCTCTATTTCATTGTTTCCTCTTTCTCATTTTTAATTGTGTGTCTAGTATCACTTTTATAAAACTGTTATTCAGTTCAATGATCTGTTAATATATTCATTTTTTCCTCTTTGCATTTTGATTCGGCTTGTATCTACTGACCTATATAAAAGCTTACTAATATTTTCCTTGTCTGTTCCATTGTATAATGAGCCATAAAAGTCATTCTTCATTTCTGTTACAACATTCTTTATACCTAGTATTTTCTTTTTAATTTTTATTACAGTTTATATCTCTCTGGCTTTGTTACTTATCTGTTCTTGCATAATGTCTACTTTTTCAATTAGAATCCTTAACATACTAATAAAAGTTATTTAAAATTCCCTTTCTAATCATTCCAATATCTGTCATGACTAAGTCTGGTTTTAATGATTGTTTTGTGCCTTTGGATTGTGGTTTTTAAATTATTATACTTAAGTTCTGGGATACATGTGCAGAATGTGAAGATTTGTTACAGAGGTATACATGTGCCATCATGGTTTGCTGCACTCATCAACCCGTCATCTGGATTGTGCTTTTATTTTACCTTTTGGCATGGCTTTTAAGCATTTGTTGAATTTTGGACATGTGGTATTTTGTACTAAGAACCACGGTAAAAAGGCCTCTAGTATGAGGATTTATGTTAACTTGCCTAGTAATTGGTATTCTTAGCATTTTTAGAGCTGTTGAGAAGGGGCTACATTGTCTGGGCTAAATACCTGGAGTTTGTTATCTTGCGCCAAGAAAATTTAAGACGTGGACACACACGAGGAGATTAGGAGAGGAGGTTTAATAAGCAAAAGAAAGAGAAAGAAAAAGGATCTCTCTCTAGTGAGAGAGAGGGTACTTCCGTAAAGAAAGGATTGGCCCACGGCAGATGTGCCAGATTTCATAGTCAGGCTTGAGGAGGCAGTGTCTGATTTACATAAGGTTCACAGATTGGTTCCATCAGGTATGACGTTTACATAGTGCATGGGGAAGACTGGCTGCCCCACTCTAATTTTATTATGCATATAAATTTTCCCTTTGGCATGGGCCATCTTGTCTGCTCCTTACTCTACAGGTGGCTGACAAAGAGGAGGAAAAAAGGAGCCACCATCTTGAGTATGATTGGCACGACTGCAGGCATCTATGTCTGCAGCTCGAATTTACAAGCTGCTCTGTGTTAGAAGGAAAAATAATTTGGGGCTACTTTTCATTAAAAGGAAAACCTTACCAAGGACTTCCATACCCTCACAATCTACCTAAGTAATTTCTTCTAAACTCCTTTATCAATGGAGTCAGATGCTTCATGTTCCTCACGTTCTTGCTTTTGTCTCCCCTCTTAACTTTGAATTCTCATACATATTACTGCCCACAGAGAGTCTGTGTCATGAAATATATTCAGTTGTAAGGCACTGTATTATGGTAGAGACTGGTTTGTGCAGCAATACAGTATGGGAGAGAGGATGCTCTCTATATTCTTCTAATTCCGTGTCAATCTTTTACCCGGACTGTGTCTTTTGGCTGTTACTTTTACAAGTGTTTCTGCATTTACATAATTTTATTTTTGTTTATTCTACCCATTGTTCCCTACTGGCTTCCCTGGGTGGAGATTTTTCATATTTTCTTGAAGTTCTTCCCTTCACTGACTATTAATTTTTTGCTCCTTTCTCAGATAGGAAAGGTATAGAGGTGGCTAGAGTGAGAGAAAAGCCCTTCCTTGACTCTGATAAGGTTCTAACTAGTTCCCTTTGCAATATAGCCCATTGTTATGAAGCCTTCTCCATATTTCACAATGATTACACTTCTCTTCCATTTGCCAGAGACATGAGTAGGTATTTCTTGATTCTTCCCCAGAAAATCTTGTGAACTTCTAATAGGTAAAGTCCATGAAAGTGTAAGGCCCCCTAAGACCATGCTTCTTGGGACCTTCTCACTGACACACTAGTACACATTCAGTCTCTATTTGTCCAAATTGTCATTTAAATGCTATCAATTTATAGCTCAAGTATTTTCCCTTCCATATAAACAGATCCTAGCTGTTATCTTACTCACTGTTGGCTGTCGTAATATAATGCCATACCCTGGGTCTTAAACGACAGACATTTATTGCCTCACAGTGCTGGAATCTGGAATTTCAAGACCACGGTGCCAACATAATGAGGTTATTGTATGCTTTCTCTTCCTGGCTTGCAGGGGGCTCCCTTCTTGCTATGTCCTCACATGGCCTTTTCTCCATGCAGGCATGAAAGAGAGCGAGAAAGAGAGCTATCTATAAAGCTTTCCCATCAGGAAAGCCCCACCTTCATGAGCTAATCCATTCCTAATTACTGTAACTCCCAAAGGGCCCAAGTGATGGTGAATATTGAGTGTCAACTCGATTGGATTGAAAGATGCAAAGTATTGTTGCTGGGTGTGTCTGTGAGGGTGTTGCCAAAAATAAAAATTAACATTTGAGTCAGTGAACTAGGAGGCGCAGATGCACCCTCAATATGGGTGGGCACCCTCTAATCATCTGCCAACATGGCTAGGATAAAAGCAGGCAGAAGAATGTGGAAGGACTAGACTGCCTAAGTCTTGTCACATCCATCTTTCTCCGTGCTGGATGCTTCCTGTCCTTGAACATCAGACTCCAAGCTCTTCAGCTTTTGGACTTTTGGACCTACACAAGTGGTTTTCCAGGGGCTTTTGGGCCTTCAGCCACAGACTGAAGGCTGCACTGTCGGCTTCCCTACTTTTGAGGTTTTGGGACTCAGACTGGCTTCCTTGCTCTTCAGTTTGCAGATGGCCTATTGTGGGACTTCACCTTGTGATCCTGTGAGTCAATACTTTTTAATAAACTCCCTTTTATGTATACATTTATCCTATTAGTCCTGTCCCTCTAAAGAACTAATATACTTCATCTTTGAATACCATCACAATGGGGGTTAAGGCTTCAACACATAAATGTTAGGATAACACAAATATTTGCTCCATAACAGCTATGCTTTGGATGATCTTGTCTTTACAGATTTCAGGATGGTGGTTTGCCTGGCAAATTCTTCTATCTGTGGGTCTAAAAAAATTCAGTGATTTCAAATTTGTCTACCATTTTCTTATGGTAGGAAAGAAATGAGTATTTCTAATCTGTTTATATATCAGAAATGAAATCATAAGTCAGGTTTGCCTTTCTGTTGCCTCTATTATATACTTGTATTCTATTTCAATAATTTCTGCTCTTACCTTAATAAATTCTTTTCTTCTGCTAATTTGGGTATAGTTGTTATTTTTTTCTAACTTCCTGAGATAGATATCGTAAAATAGAAATACATAGTTTTCAAAGTGTTTTCCTGAAGTTTGTCTGTCAACTTGAATGGACTTTCAAAGGTGTACATACATTGTATAAATTGTATTTTTTCTATTTTTTTCTGTTTGTTTTACAAAGAAATATTTTAAAGTCTAACATATTAGAATTTTTAAAAATCTTTATGTTTGAAGAAGAAGAACAAAGTTACAAGGATTATGTGATTGATGGAGGTGAGAAGTGAAATTAGGATAAAAGTTTTTAAGAGTTTTCTTCAGGTGTATTAATAAATAATTAGAAAAGAAAAACTTGTAAAATATTGGATCTGTATAAAATATTGCGATTTTATAAGAAAGAAACAAGCAATAGATTTTTAAAATTAGGTAGTTGTCCCTGGAATAATAATAAAAACAGTTTAAAATAAGGTAAAAAATTAAAAACATATATAAGACAAAAGTGTATTTATATCATATAACCAACTCTATGTAAATGTGTTCACTATGTAGTTTTAGACAGTATTGCCTCATTCAGAAATAATGATGAATAATAAATACTTAAAGGTATTTCCAATAAAACTTTCAGATTTATATCTATAGAAAAAAATTAAAGCTCAGTCATCTAAATGAGGTGTTTTTGTTTGTTGGTTGGTTGCTTGGGTGAATTGTTTCAAAGAGGGCCTTGCTTTGCCACCCAGGCTGGAGTTCAGTGGCATAATCACGGCTCACTGCACCCTTGAACTCCTGGGCTTAAGCAATCCTCTCACCTCAACCTCCCAAGCAGCTGGGACTACAGGCATGCACCACCATGCCCTGCTGAATTTTTAATTTTTAGTGGAGGCAAGATCTCACTATGTTGCCCAAGCTGGTCTTGAATTCCTGGGCTCAAGAAATCTTCCTGCCTGGACCTCACAAAGTGATAAGATTACAAGCATAAGCCACTATTTCCAGCCATAAGGTTCTATTTCCAACGGAAATGGAACGTTTGCTCCTTAACAACTTTTTATTCTGCCACAAATAAAATTAAATATAACATTTAGCTTCAGTGTGCAGATTCAGACAGTGATATACATGGAGAATGTTTATAAAATCACATTAGCAGTAATGTTCCTAATATAATAACATGGGAGAGCCTTTGGTTTATCTTGAGAAGAGTGAAATGTTACAAATGTTTACCATGGAATGATTGATGGATATGTCTTAGCAAAGTTTGTACGTCAAATGAACATGTCTTAACACACTTTTTCCATTAATTTTCTTATAAAATGTGAAATAGATGCTACTGGCAAACAATTAGGAATTTCTGTGTTCCTAGTCTTATGTAAAAATACAACAACCTTTTTAAAATCACATAACTAAATTAAAAGATAATTGAAACGAAATTCATATTTATTAATAAGCGATAATACAGAGTCAATCATGGCTATAACCACAGATACCCTTTTTCAGGGCATTTAGTATATATTCTTCGCAGTCATATTTCTTCAGATTGGGTTGCTTTTCATTATTCTCACAAACATTTTATGTCATACTCATTCTTATTATCTCCATTTGTTTCTCATATAAGCAAAAAGCCTAGAGAGCATAAATCCTTTGTTTAAGGTAAAATAAGCTGACAAATTGAAGACAGATTCCAAAGTTAGGCATCTTAGTTACTAGGTTACACCTGTTCCAGATACTGCTGAAAACATACAGTGTATCACAGAAACAACAACAAGCCTGAAAATGAAACTATTTTACATGATCAAATTCTAGCATGCTGTTATCACATTCTAGAGATATCATTTATTATTTGGTGATAATAATCCTCAAACAAAACAACCTGAAACATTTTATCTTCATTAAAATTAATATACCATCATGTACCACAAAACAACATTTCAGTTAACAATGAACTACAAATTCAGTGGTGTCATATAAGATTATAATACCCTGTTTTACTGTTCTTTTTCTATAGTTAAGTATGTTTCAATATACAACTATTTATCATTGTGTTAAAGTTGCTTACAGTGTTCATCACAGTAACATACTGTACAGGTTTGCAGCCTAGGAGCAATAGGTTATACCATATAGCATAGGTGTGTTATTGGTTATATCATTTCAGTTTGTGTAGTACAGTCATGATGTTTGCACAATGATAAAATAACCTAACCATGCATTTCCTACAATATATCCTTGTCATTAAGTAATACATGATTGTATTCTCAAAATATATGACCAAGATAATTCTTTCACATTTTTCTTAGAGGTTTATTTCGTTTTAAAAATCTTTTCACAGTGATAGTTTATTTGTAAAACTTAACCTAATGGTTTGCATGGTCCTTTAGAGCATAAAAATAGAATCTGAGATGAAGCTAATACTAACTTGGCTACTACTGATCTGTTTTAATGTTAAAACGTTAAACCAGTTAAGCTGTAGAAAATGGCTTAGGCAGTCATTGGTAATTGAATGCCAAGTTTAATTATTTGATACCAAAAGAGTTTGAACACATATGTCTAACGTAATGTCTTCCAGTTTTTTTTCTTACATCAAGAACATATGAAGATATTCAGTCCTCTAAATATATCCACAGAAGAATAATTAAGCAGATATTTGAAGCATATGGATGTAAATTTTTTTACAAAGCGTATACTTTATCATAAGCCTGTATTAAAATATTTATTTTAACACTACATTTTCTTCATAGGGAATTAGGGAACTGCCCTTTTTCTATTTTGTCTTTTGTTCTGTCTATTTTGAAAATTCAGAGAAGGTTCAGGAGCAATAAAATAGTATAGTTCACATTTATTGGAGACCAAGAAAAACATGATTTAAAAATAAAATAATATAAACTTTGGAAAATCTTAAATTTATTTCTTTCTTTTTCTTTTTATTTTTGTAGAGATGAAATCCCACTATTTTGCCCAGGCTCATCTATAACTTCTGAGCTCAAGACATCCTCCTGCTTTGACCTTCCAAAGTGCTGGGATAGGGGTAAGTGCCCCATGCCCAGCTTAAAGCCATTTTTATGGTCTTCAGGCTGAAAGTGATATTCAGAAGAAGGCTGGGGAAAGGAAAAAATGTCAAACTAATGGCTCTGAGATTATTTTTTAATCCTAAAAAATTCATTAGTTTTGTTTCATCTACCATTAATGGGATACAATACATTAAAGTTTATAATAAAATTTATACATTTATAACTTGATTTATACATTTCTTGCTTTTTATAGAGCTAGTGGTACAGTTTGGCTGTGTCTCCACCCATATCTCAAATTGTAGCTCTCATAATTCTCACATGTTGTGAGAGAGACCCAGTGAGAAGTAATTGAATAATGAGATGGGTCTTTCCCACGCTACACTCATGACGGTGATTAAGTCTCACAAGATCTGATGGTTTTATAAAGGGGAGTTCCCTTGAACACACTGTCTCTTGATTGTGGCCATGTACAACATGACATTGCTCCTCCTTTGCCTTTCACCATGATTGTGAGGCCTCCCCACGCAGGCAGAACTGTGAGAAAATGAAACCTCTTTTTCTTTGTAAATTACCCAGTCTCAGCAGCATGAGACTAATTTATTAGCAGTGTGTGAACAGACTAATACATTAAATTAGTATTAGGTGGTGGGGTGCTGCTGTAAAGATTCCCAAAAATGTGGAAGCAGTTTTGGAACTGGGTAACAGCCAGAGATTGTAACAGTTTGGAGGACTCAGAGGAAGACAGGAAAATGCAGGAAAGTTTGGAACGTCCTAGAGATTTGTTGAATGGCTTTGACAAAAATGTTGATAGTGATATAGACAATAAGGTCCAGGCTGTGGTGGTCTCAGATGGAGATGAGGAATTTGTTAGAAACTGGAGTAAGGTCACTCACTATACAAAGAAAGTGATGACATTTTGTCCCTGCCCTAGAGATCTGTTGAACTTTGAACTTGAGAGAGACAATTTAGGGTACCTCGGGGAAGAAATTTCTAAGCGGCAAGATGTTCAAGAGGGAGCAGAGCATAAAAATTGGGAAAACTTGCAGCCTGACAATGCAGTAGAAAAGAAAAACCCATTTTCTGTGAATAAATTTAAGCCTGCTGCAGAAATTTATATAAGTAATAAGAAGCCCAATGTTAATCACCAAGATAATGGGGAAAACATCTCCAGGGCATGTCAAAGACTTCATGGCAGTTTCTCCCATCACAAGCCTGGGGCCTCAGAAGAAAAAATCATTTTGTGGGCCTAGCCAAGGGCCCCTGTTCTGTGTGCAGCCTAAGGACTTAGTGCCCTGCATCCCAGCTGCTCCAGCTGTGGCTAAAAGGGGCCAAGGTACAGCCATGGCCATGGCTCCAGAGGTTACAAGCCCCAAGTCTTGGCAACTTCCACGTGGTGTTGATCCTGTTGGTGCACATAAGTAAAGAACTGAGGTTTGGTAACCTCCACCTAGATATCAGTAGATGTAGGGAAATGCCTGGATGTCCAGGCAGAAGTTTGCTTCAGGGATGGGGCCCTCATGCAGAACCTCTGCTAGAGCATTGTGGTAGGGAATTCTGAAGCTGGAGCCTCTACACAGAGTCCTCATTGGGTACTGCCTACTGGTGTTGTGAGAAGAGGGCTACTGTCCACCATCCCCCAGAATGGTACATTCAATAGCAGCTTGCACCATGAAACTAGAAAAGCCAAAGACACTCAAAGCCAGCTCATGAAAGCAGCCAGGAGGGGGGGCTATACCCTGCAGTGCCTCAGGGGTGCAGCTTTCCAAGGCCATGGGAACCTACCTTTTTCATCAGCATGACCTAGATGTAAGACATGAAGTCAAAGGATATCACTTTGGAACTTTAAGGCCTAATTACTACTCTATTAGATTTCAGACTTGCATGTGGCTGTAACCCTTTTGTTTTGGACGATTTATCTCAACTGGAATGGATATACCTCCTATTGTATCTAGGAATGCCTGTACCCCGCATTGTATCTAGGAAGTAACTAACTTGCTTTTGATTTTACAGGCTCAGAGGGGAAGGAACTTGCCTTGTCTCAATTGAGACTTTGTACTGTGGACTTTTCAGTTAATGCTGAAATTAGTTAAGACTTTGCGGACTGTTTGGAAGGCATGATTAGTTTTGAAATGTGAGGACATGAGATTTGGGAGTGGCCAGGATTGGAATGATATGGTTAAGCTTTGTATCTCCACCCAAATCTCAAACTGTAGCTCCCATAATTTCCATGTGTCATGGGAGAGATACAGTGGGAGGAAACTGAATCATGGGCATGTGTCTTTTTTGTGCTGTTCTCTTGATAGTGATAAGTCTCACAATATCTGATGGTTTTATAAAGGGGAGTTCCCTTCCACATGCTCTCTCTCTTGCCTACTGCCATGTAAGGTGTGACTTTTCTCCTTCTTTGCTTTCTGTCATGATTGTGAGGTCTTCCCAGCTACATGGAGCTGTGAGTCCATTCAACATCTTTTTTTATTTTAAATAAATTACCCAGTTTGAGGTATGTCTTTATTAGCAGCATGAGAACAGACTAATACAGCTAGTAAAAATGATTGTTACATATAAGCAAACTAGTTGGCTGAATTAATATGCCTACAAATTATTCTATATGGTTTTATAACAAATATTTATTTTGAAGAGTCTCACAGTTTGTAGTTTATATATTTCAAATTAGATATTGATAAATAATTTATACTATACCAAAATTGCACTAAAATTTGCCTTTTATGGTTATCATCACACAGATAATATTAAATTTTATTAAGACTCAGGAATTTATCTTGCACATAGTAATTCATGGTTTTAAAACACAATTTGAGCAGTTTTTACTTTTTAAATGCATATTCGTATGTAGAAAATTTTATTTAGTTCCATCCTATGAGAATTTTTGCTGGTATATGTGTGTCAGTTATTTATTTTGAGTAATTGTAATAAAATAAGGTAGGCAACCAATATATTATAGATTGTCTTTTAATAACTATAATCTTTAATACTTGCATCTTCATGTGTTTTTAAAATGTCACCTTTCCAACTTATTTATTTTATTTATTTTTATTTTTTATTTTTTTGAGACAAAGTTTTGCTCTTGTTGCCCAGGCTGGAGTGCAATGGCTCAATCTTGGCTCACCACAATCTCTACCTCCCAGGTTCAATCAATTCTGCCTCAGCCTCCCAAGTAGCTGGGATTACAGGTATGCACCACCAAGCCCAGCTATTTTTGTACTTTTAGTAGAGACGGGGTTTCTCCATATTGGTGGTCAGGCTGGTCTCAAACTCCCGATCTCAGGTGATCCACCTGCCTTGGCCCCCCAAATTGCTGGGATTACAGACGTTAGCCACCACACCCGGCCCAATTTATTTATTTTTAATAGTGAGATGAACGTGTATATGATCATTGAAAGCCTTAACTGAAGCCTCCTTGTCTATAAAATTTTCATTTATCCTTTATGTCCTGTTTCTTCCATCTGCACAGAACTCTCAGAACATTTGCTAATCAATACCCACAACTCACCGCTAGATAAGGTCTTTATTGCTTCAGATGGGAAAGCTTAAGAACAGTTAAGTAACTTGAACAAGGTCAGTGTGAATTGGTTTCTGAGGTAGGGTTAGCATACAGATCGATTATCCTCATAGCTATTTCTACATTCTCTGGGCATAGTTGTTCCAGACAGGCCAGTGACAAAGAATCTCTTTCAATTGTGCATCTTCATTACAAAGTTTAAACACAGCCAGAGACATATTTCCAATTGTACATTTCTGCATATTTTGACCAAGATTTTTTACAGACAGATTTTCTGGGAGGAACTACTAGAAAAAAGCCTCTGTCATTCACACACATACACAACACACAAACACAGACACAAACACACACACACACACACACATACACATATATAAAATACTAATATTCTGGTTTCTAATGTATTTAATGTTTATTGTTGTTTTTAGCTAAATGTTTAGAATCATGTTTCTGTCTTGTAACAAATGTTAAATGTATTCTAAAAGTGAACTTATACACTTATACCATGTTTCCTCTCTATACTCTTTATAGAAAGCAGCATTAGAACTTATGTTATTTTTCCACTATAAAGAGATTTAGTTTTAGGTCTTATTCAGTTGATTGCTTCTTTAAAAACCCAAAGTTATTAATTGTTCTCAATAGTTTTAAAAGTATATTAAGTATGCTTAGATAATATTTTCAATATTTTATTATTACAGTACCTTGTTTTTCACAAATTGGATATATATTAACAAATATATAATTTTATGTCAAGTGGTCTCTTAGTTATAGTAGAGTCTTTCTACTTTAGTATTCTACTATACTTTTTTTTCTGAAAATACAATATACTATTTTCAGCATTATTTCAGCAGCACAGCTTATTTCTATGCTTAGCACATCCCACCTTCCCTTTAGTCTTGTGCATATTTTCCCCTTCACCCTTTTAGACTGACTGTGATATATACGTCCAGTCAAATCTATGACTGTCTGAGCAACTTGGATACCATATCCATTATTATTTTGCCTAGGGTCTTATGATCACTTTGACCAAGTTTCTAAAGCAGTCAACATTCATATAGTCTTCAAGTATTTAGCACTACTGCTGTTAGGGACACTTTGTAATGCTATATTACTTTCCTGACTGATTTGCTCTTAGTCATTATTTCTTTCAGTTTGAATCTCTCATCCTGTTTCCTGAACTAATATTTAAATTGTGTCTTCACTTTATGAATTTTATTTAATTTTAGCTTAATTATATGCCCTTTCAACTGATTTTTTTGTTATTAATACTATTTTTTTTCTTTTTTTGGATTACATAGGGTTTGTATATGACCTTGACACTCCCGTTAGTGCAAATTATAGCAATTTCCTACTTACTGACTTTAATATAATCACCTAAACTTAACCTCTGTGAGATAATTCACATCATCCAGTTTACATTATCATAACCTGTATGTTCCAAATATACAAGTAACAGAATACTTTCCCATTTTGTATCAATGGAGTTTGTTTCACTTATTTCACCTAATGAATATGCCAGCTTCCTGTTAATTTTTTCCACTAATATTAAAAGAAAATATATTCTTTGAAAACTTAAATTTATATAGATAAGTCAGTCATTTGTCCTAAAACCTGCCTTGAAATGATAGGAGTATTGTGATGGTCATCTAATTGTGTATTAGTCATTATTTTAGGAAGTGTAATTGTTATTTCTCATTGTTTCTTTTCAAAACAAAACTCCCACATATTGAAGTGCTGTAGTAAGTATTAAAAATAATGAACTAAGATACAGTATATGCAAAGTAACTGATACTGTAAGGGTATTCAAAAAATATTACCCTTATTTTGCATTTTCCTCACTGAGTTGTTCTGGTTGGAAAATATATGCAACTAGAACAACTCAATGTACTGTTGGTTAGAATAAATTTAACTGATCATCATGGTCATATATAAGTAAAAACCATCCATCATACCTAATACAAATTATTCTCATTAGTAATCAGTTTAATTTAAAATTTTCTATATTTGTGATACACATGAGTAATGGCTTTTTTCCCCATTGTTGCCTTCCATGATATTTATTGACTCATTCTAAATTAACCTTTGAAAAACTCTCATCAGATTTAATGGCTTCTGGGGTTCAAATATAGGAACCGTTTTTATATTTCAATTAAGTTTCTTACATTTTTAATTTAAAATTTTAATGCTTCACTTATTGAAAAAAATGTTATATTCTAGTTAAATGTAAAACATTGATTCTGGATGCTTTTCAAAGCTTCTCCTCAACCCAGATTGGAACTCAATTTGGTACAGGCACCGACAGTAAAATAATTGGAAATGGTCTGTTTTTTAAATTAATTTTTTTGTCTCTCCTTTCTGGTTATTTCCAGGTTGAGGCAGTATTGTGTTGAGTTGATTAAAGGAAGGACTTATATTGTAATCATATTTGAATTTCTCTCCTGACTGCCAGAGTCCTGTTTATGGAAGCTGTCCAAACATAACTGTAGGCACATAGATAATTTGGAATGTCCTTATGGCAAACCATGCTTTTCACATATGCAGGGCATGGCTTTCGTTCTTCCGGGGTGAACTTTTCTGACATGTCCATTAGCTTTCAGCCCTAGTGGTATACCCCATGTCCTCTGATTAATGGTGCCTCCAAAATCTCTTAAGTGGATTTTTTAAAAGATATGTTATCAAAGAACCAACAGTCTCCTCTTGGCTCAGAAAAGACTCCTAAGATATTTTAGACTATATAAAAAGACAAAAATGCAACCTGTCTTTGTTTTGTCACTATTTTTTGTGACATTACAAACTGTTCAAGAGACAGTAAGATAACAGCCTTCTTCTCTTGCAGAGAAAGAAATAGCCTTCCTTTCTAACAGAAATGGTCAGTTAGTCTGAGTGGTTCTCAAGGAAAACCACCTCACTTTGAAATTAACCATATATTTAATACACAATTGAACTATTTATGAAATACATACATATATATACACACACAAATACATGCTCTTCAAATTTCTAGTCTTGATGTTTACAAGTTGCCTGAGGACTGTCCCACCACTCCCATCAAAGCTAATGCATGCACCCTCTAATGAAGAGTATAAGTGCAAGTTTTCCTTGTTTACATCTACCCAACTTTGTCCCTGCTCTGATTCAGAGAATAAGATCCAGGCCTCTGGGGGTTCTGCAACCTAATCCAACACCTGAAACACCTGACCACTTCTACCAGGGAACACAAGTCAGGCATAAATCCCATCACAACCATTAAGCTGAATTTTACCTGCAAGCACCAAGTAGTTGCCTAGAGGCAAGCCTACATACCCATTGCAACAACTGCTAGCACAAGAGCATAATCCATGGTAACTAGAAGAGCTTCTCATGACTACTGCTACTGCCATCACCCATGCCCACCCAGATGCCACAGGAGGTTGAGGGCCTGCTCCCCTGACTGGTACACTCCTAGCAATGAGTACAATTGGCATCCAAGAAAGTTACCCAGAAGGCCAATAATCTGCCTGCTTAAAACTGTCAACACAGGTGCCAGAATATGCTGCCCAAAGGCACAAGGATAGACAAACTTATCCCACCACTACTACCACTGGAACCTGAGGAAGGACCCATCACGCATTTCAGTCCCCAGCACAACCTTACCACAGCCCCTACCAATAACCACACTCTAACACACCAAAGAATGCACAGAAACCACTAAGGCTATTTACAGCAAATGAAATTACAGAGAATTATACAGTGTCACACACCCAAAAGCCAAGTCAGACAGCTCTACCCAACCAATATTATAGTAATATCGTCAAGAAAAAGTTCCCCTCAACAAAAGTAAATTCAAAAATAAAAATAATCTGCTGCTCTAGTTGTGCAGAAATCCACATAAAGATAAAGGAAACATAAAAAAGCAAGGTACTATGAATGGCAAGTTTATCAAAGAGACAGATATAGTCTTAAAAAATCAGACAACAATTCTGGTAATAAAAATTTTTTAGAGGAATTATAAAGTATACTTGAAAGATTAGACAATAAACTATACCAAGCAGAAGAAAACAACAGCAGAATTTGAAGACAAGTGTTTTGAAATAATACAGTCATATTTTTAATACACATTTTTAAATAAAGCTTTCAAGAAATTTGAAACTACATAAAGTAATAAAACTTAAGAATTATTAGTATTCCAAAGGGGAGAAATTATGAAAAAAGTTTAGAAAACCTATTAACGAAATCATTGAAAAAACTTCCCAAATCTATCAAGAGCTTTAGATACTCCAACAGAGATGCCTAGCAATTTCTAGAAACAATACATTGCAAAAAAAGGACATCACCAAAAGTCATTGTTGCAGGACTTTTCCTTAGTTCAGCTAAAGAAAGGGTCCTTGTTTCTCCCACAGCCACAAAAATTTATGCTTGCAGGTGTTTGAAGGGTGAGGAAAGCAGGGTTTTATTGGGTGAAAAGGAAGAAAAGGGGGAAACAGGGACTCTTGCTAGGCCAAAGTTCCTGCTACAGTGCTTCCCACCTAGCCGTTTGAATCCCAGGTTTCACACAGGAGGAGAAAGGACTCGTCCTTGCTGCAGATAGCGTGAATTTCTGTGGCTCCACCCTAGCATGCATTTCCAGTGTGCAGGTCAGCTGGAGTATTTCTGGGGACCCCCCTCCCACCTGGCTGTCTCATTCCCCCGCTAAAGAAGTACATCTTACTGCCATTAAATCAAGTGTAAGAACAAAGACGGATCTTACCTGTTTCCTGTTGATAGGTGGCGCTGTCCTGGGGAAACGGCAGTCAGATCTCCCTCGGAGGCCTATCTAAGGGTTCCCAGCAGAAGGGACAATCATCAGAGGCTCCAGTTTCATGACTGTTGGGTTCCCTTCCCCTGAGCCCAATACTAAGCCAACCAGTTTAAGGTTTAGGAAATTAACTCTTTCCAGATTGGAGGATGCATCCAATGGGAGTGTCACGTAGTACAGAGACACAATTACCTATCGGTGAAGAGAGGACAGAGGAGAAAAAATTTAAAAAAAAAAAAAAAAAAAAAGGAAGGCATTTTTTCAAAGGAGTCCCACGGGTTCAGGATGCATTCTAAAGGTATACAAACTGAAGATAAATGGCTACCCATTTAGAAAGAGGGGAGTGGGCATCCCTGGTTTCCTTTTCTTTCAAGCAGATACCCAGGGAGCATGAGGGAGAGAAGGAAGAACATTCTTTTTTCCTTCTTCCATCCTTGCATTCCCGAATTCAAGCGACCTAGGCAGGTGCTGCCATGGTTGTTAAAGCAGCTTGCACCCATGAAGCAAGGAGGGCCTAGAGAATAGGAATTATCCACTCTAACCTATGTCTCTTACCTACCTACTGTCAGTAACCTTAGAGTTCCCTAGATCTCATTTATACCGTGGATACTAATGTGGTCTTTATCCATGAAACAGGAAGATTGGGGTTGGCTTATTGGCAGGAATCAGCCATGGTCAACTGTGCTGTGCCTTTAAACCTCTGTTGTCATTTGCCTCTGAATACCTCACATCCAGTTTTCCTTCCTAGGGCTTTGACCCAAAGCTTGGAATTGAGTTTGGGAAAAAATGTGCCTCAGGGGCTTGCATGGTCCTGTCATAAGCTGAAAGATAAGGTGAAACTGTGGAACTGAGTCCTTCTCCAACAAGGGAGAGGAAAAGATGTCTTGTGACCCACCCAGATAACTGGTGTCTATAGTTATGCCTGCTAAGATTTGGATGCATGAGGCTTAGCTCTGATTAGCTCCCTTGGTCTTACTTTCCCAAAAAGAAAAACTCCAAGTAATGGGCATCGCGTTTATTCTCATCAACTGTCAGGATTTGCAGGATAATTGTTCAGAACTAGAATATTGATCCAGATTTTTATATTACCCATTTCTCTTGTACTTTCTGAGTTCCAGCTGGAGATTGCTGGTAGGTTCACAGGAACAAGCAAGGTTAGTCTGAAATGTAGGTTAAAACTTAAAAACAACTAGTGAGTTTAGAATTTAATTAAAAATATATGATAAATTTTGACACATGATTTCTCTCTCTCCAGTTGTGTTTATTAAAACACAAATCATCATAGGACTGAGTGGCTTGCAAAATAGGCTTTCGTTTTATACTTGGTCTGATTATTTGCAGAAAGTGCAGCAATAATAATTATCTCTACATAGGCTTTTGGGATTGGCTTTGATGGAAGTTCATTCCATAAGTAATCTCAGAAAAGGCCTTTTAAAGCCAAGCCCAACTGTGGATTTGCATCCTTAGTTACCTGTGAGTTGGGTGATCCTTTCCTCTTAAGGCCCCATAATAAACTTGGAGCTCCTGGGCCTGTTAGAAAGTGACATTCTTTACTGACCACAGGTCAGACTCCCTGTACAGAGACTGCGTAAACAAGGGTTAGATGCCAATCTCCCCACGGGGCTTTTATTTAGTCTGCAAGTTGACATTGACTCCTTAAAAGGAAGCATATTTTTCCAGTAGAAGCTTTGGTAAAATAACCACTTTCTCCAATTCTGTTCCATAGCAAAAGAAAAAATGGATTCTTATTGCACTGATGTAAACAACTATATTTCCATAATGATACTCACAGTTAGTTTTCAAATTCTAGAGGAACAGGCAGAGAGAAACAAACATGCTCCAAATCTTGATCACAGGAGTATATGTTACTTATTTATTAAAGGCCATAAATAGTTCAAAACAAGTTTCCTTGAGTGTGAAAAACAAAACATGGATCAGCAATATTCCAAGCAAAAGTCAGAAAGTTTACTTTAGCTTCCTGAGTTCAGTTCACTTAGTTAACTCTTGTTTTGCTTGATATTCCTTAACATTTCAGCTCTTCATTAGTCCTGTATATTTTCCTTTATTCTAATGTTTCAATTTCCAATGTTATTGGAAGTTTGTATTTGAAAGCACCTTTTAAAGTTCTATAGTTTATTATAAACCATCTTTTGAAAATAATTAAAACAAGACAACAATTGTCTGTGTATAGCAAAATGTCCAGGGTAGTTGCAGTTATGAACACAATTGATAAAGAAGTTTAGTTACCTCTGTGGTTTAAAGTAACATAAAACCTTAATTATGATTGACAGCATATACTCAGATATTAGAATTTTAGAAATCCCATACAATTTTGGAACATACATCAGCATTATTTACCAAGATATAACCTAAAAAAGATTGAGCATCATTTTGGCCATCCCGTGTACCTAAATGTGTCAGCTAATCCTGTTTAGTTCTCTTTTATGGACACTTCAGGGGCCATCTGACATATTCGAAAAGCCAGCTACCAGGAAAGACAATTTTGAAACTGAAGTTAGCTTTTGGGAAGGCTGCTAAATGTTTGAGGTTTGAAACACTTGATATTATAAAATAGGATTTCAGATTACCATAAATTATTTTGCCAAAATGATGACTCAGATATTTGAAAGAAGCATAAACCTTTTATAACCCTTTACAAATTTTGCCAAAGAGCACATTAGTGCCTTAGGAAAACCTTGTTATGCTTTTATTCGAATGCTTAATTTACAGAAAATACATATAATACCTTTTTTAAAAAAATTTAGTCAATATGTTCCCACAGAGAACCTCTTCTGCAAGATTAATTTCCACAATTCTTCCATCTCTTCTTTGAACCTTCAGCTTTTTCCTAATTTAACTCAAAACAATTCTTTAATCCTAGGCAAAAGTTTACATTTCCATGCCTTCTTATAACTTTTTATTAAAAAACACATTTCAGTCAGGCATATTGGCTCATACCTATAATCCCAGCACTTTGAGAGGCCAAGGTGGGTGGATCACTGATGTCAGGAGATCAAGACCATCCTGGCTAACATGGTGAAACCCCGTCTCTACTAAAAATACAAAAAATTAGCCAGGCGTGGTGGCAGGCACCTGTAGTCCCAGCTACTTGGGAGGCTGAGGCAGGAGAATGGCGTGAACCTGGGAGGCGGAGCTTGCAGTGAGTGGAGATTGCACCACTGCACTCTAGCCTGGATGACAGAGCGAGACTCCGTCAAAAAAAAAAAAAATTCACTGTTCAAATCTATTTTTAGTAGTTTTAGTTATCTCCTAGCGATTTTTAACTTTAAGGTAAAACCTGTTCAGTTTCTTTAATTGTGTCCTAAGTGCAGTCAACATTTGCCTTCTTAATTAGGGTTGTAGTTAGTTTCATATGTCCCCAGGCCCTACCAGTTGTGAAGCCGGCAAGTCAAATAGTTCTCAAAACCCAAAAAGCAGTTTGTTACCTTAAAACACTTAGCAAATCTTGCATCTGATCTGAATTTTACCAAGAATCTTTAGGGAAGTTTTTATTTCTTAAAGATTAAAGTCACCCAAAAAGAAGGGCACCACAGATTTTATGTTCCCTTAAAAAATATTAGATCCAAGCATTTATCTTTCTTTAGGCCAAATTAATTAGAGCACTTTTTACAGACATTAGACACATCACACACACAGACAGGGAGGGGAAAACCCAGTCCCCAGGTGGGTTTGTTAAGAGACAGGGCTAGGAGAACAAGCAGGTATCAAGTCTTAAAGAAACTTTCCCTAAGGCAGGATTGGTAAACAAAGTCTCCCACCAAAGTTACAAGCTATCCCCTCAGGATGTAAAACAAAACGGAGGCTTCATTTCACAACCAAAATTTCACAGGAAATATAAACAGTAAAAGTTGTGAGGCCTGGCCTAGTAAAAATGTCTTTTTTTTTTATTATACTTTAAGTTCTAGGGTACATGTGCACATTGTGCAGGTTAGTTACATATGTATACATGTGCCATGCTGGTGCGCTGCACCCACTAACACAATAGCAAAGACTTGGAACCAACCCAAATGTCCAACAGTGATAGACTGGATTAAGAAAATGTGGCACATATACACCATGGAATACTATGCAGTCATAAACAATGTCTTCTAAGAGGAAAAAAAAATTCTTTAAAGGTTAACTGCTGTGGGGTAGTGAAGGGGAAGAAAAGAAAGGTGTAAAAATGCCTAGGAAAGAACCTTTTGTTCTTATGCAAGTGGTTCCTCCAACAGGGAAAATAGTTTAATTACTGTCCAGTGGAGCCGAACCCCTTGGCAGAGGAAGAGAGGGTTCTGGTAGTGTGGTTGGAAACCAGCCAGCTGCCCCAGGCACCTTGGATCATGTAACTCCAACCCAGTACAGAGGGGAGGGTAGAGGGGAGCTGCTGTTTGTCAGTCTTTTCCAAAAAAGAAAAGCCTGTGAAAAGGCCCCCAACCCCCTGGAGTGATACGGGTGTGAGGGTGCAGTTTCCTGTAAGCTCAGACATCTGAGGATGAAAAGGCTTAGAAGCCACAGTGAGAGGTTTTGAGTCCCCATTTTATTCACCACTTATCAAGCCCCACGTAGGGTGCCAAAAAATGTTGCAGGAATTTTCCTTAGTTCAGCTAAAGTTGGGGTCCCTGGTAGAGTGCTTCCCATCCGGCTGTTCAAATCCCAGGTTCCACACAGAAAGAAAAGGGGCCAGGCTCCTCCTTACTGCAAACAGTGTGAATTTTTGTGGCTCCACCTCAGTGCACATCTCCAGTGCATGGGTCATTTGGAGTATTTCTGGGGACCCCCTCCCGCAAGGACGTCTCAATACTATAATCAGATTTTCTAAAGACAAACTGAAGGAAATAGTTCTGAAATCAGCAAGAGAAACTTGTCTAGTCATCTCTAAAGGAAAGCCTGTAAGACTGATAACAACTGCTCAGCAGAGCCCTTACAGGCCACAAGAGAATAGGATGGCATATTCAAAGTGCTGAAAGAAAAAAACAACCAGCCAAGAATACTATGTGAAGCAAGATTAAACTTTATAAGTAATAAAGAAATGAAGCCATTCTCAGACAAGCAAATGCACAAGTAATTAATCATCACAAGATCGACTACACAAAAAATGCTCTAAGGTATTCTAAATGTAGAAATAAAAGACAATCAATATTCACCATTGTGAAAGCACATGAAAGTATAAAACTCGTAGATAAAAGAATCACACAAAGGAGAAATAGAAAGGAATCAATTGCCTTCACTATAGAATTCTACTTAACTTCAAAGACAGAGAAAAAGAAACATATAATTTATAAAACAAGTATAAAACACTTAACAATATGCAGAAACAAAATGTAAAAATCATTATTAACTTTGAACATAAATTGATTAAGTGGTCCCTTAAAATAGATTGGTAGAATGGATTTTTAAAAATCATCAAACTATATGCTGCTTACAAGAAACTCACCTTATCCACAAAGGCACGTAGACCGAAAGTAAAGGGGTGGGGAAAGATGTTTCACACAAATGGAAACCAAAAGAGACCAGCAGTAGCTATACTCAGATAAACTACACTTTAAGTAAAAAAATGTTAAAAACTAAATAAATAAAAATAAATAAATAAGATTATTATATAATGATAAAGGGACCAATTCAGCAGAGAGATATAACAATTCTAAGTATAAATGAATCCAACACAAGATAACTCAGATACATAAAATAAACACTATTATATCTAAAGAAGGACATAGATGACAACAAAATAAAAGTAGAGGACTACAACACTCCAGTCACAACATTAGAAAACATTGAAAAAGAAAATTAACAAAAATTAAACAAATTAAGCTTTAGACAAAATGAGCCTAACAGATATTTACATAACACTATGCTCAACAACTGTAGAATGTATATTCGACACATCAGCATATGAAGCTGAGAGACCACTTTAGATAACAAAATAAGTCTCAACAAATTTAAATGAATATAATCATATCAATTATCTTCTGAGATCACAGTGGAAAAATCTAGGAATCAATATCAAAAGGAACTTTAGAAAATATACAAACATGGAAATTAAACATCATGCTTCTGAACAATCATTGGCTCAATGAAGAAATAAAGCCATAAATTTAATACAATGCAACAAATAAAAATGAAAACACAGCATACCAAAACATGTGGAATACAGCAAAAGCAGTGCTAAAAGAAAAGTTTATAGCATTAAAAACCTACATCAAAGAATCAGAGATTACAAATTAACAGCCTAATGTCACATCTCAAAGAACTAGAAAAGCAAGAGTGGTCAAACACAAAATTAACAGAATTAAAAAAAAAAAATAAAGTTCAGAGCTTAATTAACTAAATAAAATAGAGACCAAAAAAAAAGAAACAGTTAAAGGGATCAATGAAAAAAAAAGTTGTTTCTTCAAAAAGATAAATGACAAGCTCTTAGGTAGACTAACCTAAAAAATAAGAGAGTTGCTCCAAATAGATGAAATTAGAAATGAAAAAGATGATATTACATTTGATGCTACAGATATACAAAAGGTAATCAGAGTATAAGAACAACTATAGGCACACAAACTAGAGAATCTACAGGAAACAGACAAATTTCTGGAAACACTCAGCCTCCCAAGATTAAAGCAAGGAGATACAGAAAACCTGAAAAGTCTAATATTTAGTACAGATTGAATCAGTAATAAAAAAGTATTTGAATAAATAAAAGCTCAGGATAAGATGGATTCACAGCCAAATTCTACCAAATAAATGAAGAACTGCACCAATTCTTTAGAAATTATTCAAAAAAATTGAGAAGTAAGGAGTAAATGGTAACTCATTCTACAAGGCCAATGTCAGCTTGATATCAAAATCAGAAAAAAGAAAAAATAATGAAAACAGAATATCAACATCCTTCAAGGAGAAAGAGACAAAAACCCTCCAATATGGTAGCAAACTGAATCCAGCAGCACATGAAAAAGATAGTACGCCATAATCCAATGGACTTAAACCAGGTATGCAAGAATGGTTCAACATATGTAAATCAATGCATGTGATACATCACATAAACACAATAAAAAATCATCAAAATAGATATATAAAAAGCACTTAATAAAATACAGCATTCTACACAGAGAAGAAAAATGACTCAATATAATAAAGATCGCATATGACAAGGTGACACTCAACATCATACTGACTGGGGAAAATTTGAAAACATTTCTTCTAATAACTCAAACCAAACAAGGATATCAACTTCTACCATTTATATTTAACATGGTAGTATAATTCCTAGTCAGAGCAATCAGGCAAGAGAAAAAAAAATACAAAAAACACAACCAAATTGAAAAGAGAGGAAGTCGAATATACCTGTTTGCTGAAAATGTGATGTTGTACCTAGAAAAACAAAACTGAAAAATGAAACATGCCTATATTTTATAAATGAATTCAGTAACCAATAACATCTCAGGATACAAAATTAACATACAAAAAATCAATATCATTTCTATACACCAGGATACAAAATTGGCATACAAAAAATCAATAGCATTTCTATACACCAATAATGATCTAGCTGATAAAATCAAAAAGGCAATCGCATTTACAATTGCCTAAAAATAACCCTAGGAATATACGTAAGCAAGAAGATAAAAGCTTTCTATAATAAAAACTATAAAAAACAGATATATTGTAGATAACAAAAACAAATGGAACAATATTTCATGCTCATGCATTGGAAGAATTACTATTAAAATAATCACACTGCCTAGAGAAATCTACTAATTTAATATAATCTCCATCAAAACACCATTTTTTAAAGAAAATTAAAAGGTACCATTTTAAAATTTATATAAAGCCTAAAAAGAGTCTTTATAGTCAATGTATCCCAAGCAAAATGAATAAACGTGGAGGTATCAGATTACCTGACTTCAAATTTTACTACAAAGCTATATAAGCAAAATAGCATGGAACCACTATAAAAATAGACATATAGAAAACGGTACAGAATATGAACCCCAGAAATAAAGCGAAATATTTAAACTCAATTGATCTTTGATAAATTCACCAAGAACATACACTGAGAATAGGACATCCATATCAAAAACTGATGCTGGGAAAATTGAATTGTCATATGGAGAAAAATGAAACTAAGTAACTATGTCTCAGCACATACAAAAGTCAACTCAACTCCTCCTTGTACCTCTGGTAGAATTCGGCAGTGAATCCGTCTGGTCCTGGAGTTTTTTTGGTTGGTAAGCTATTAATTATTGCCTCAATTTCAGAGCCTGTTATTGGTCTATTCAGAGATTCAACTTCTTCCTGGTTTAGTCTTGGGAGGGTGTATGTGTCGAGGAATTTATCCATTTCTTCTAGGTTTTCTAGTTTATTTGTGTAGAGGTGTTTATAGTATTCTCTGACGGTAGTTTGTATTTCTGTGGGATCGGTGGTGATATCTCCTTTATCATTTTTTATTGCATCTATTTGATTCTTCTCTCTTTTCTTCTTTATTAATCTTGCTAGCGGTCTATCAGTTTTGTTGATCTTTTCAAAAAACCAGCTCCTGGATTCATTGATTTTTTTTAAGGGTTTTTTGTGTCTCTATTTCCTTCAGTTCTGCTCTGATCTTAGTTACTTCTTGCCTTCTGCTAGCTTTTGAATGTGTTTGCTCTTGCTTCTCTAGTTCTTTTAATTGTGATGTTAGGGTGTCAATTTTAGATCTTTCCTGCTTTCTCCTGTGGGCATTTAGTGCTATAAATTTCCCTCTACACACTGCTTTGAATGTGTCCCAGAGATTCTGGTATGTTGTGGCTTTGTTCTCATTGGTTTCAAAGGACATCTTTATTCTGCCTTCATTTCATTATGTACCCAGTAGTCATTCAGGAGCAGGTTGTTCAGTTTCCATGTAGTTGAGCGGTTTTGAGTGAGTTTCTTAATCCTGAGTTCTAGTTTGATTTCACTGTGGTCTGAGAGACAGTTCGTTATAATTTCTGTTCTTTTACATTTGCTGAGGAGTGCTTTACTTCCAACTATGTGATCAATTTTGGAAGAAGTGTGGTGCGGTGCTGAGAAGAATGTATATTCTGTTGAATTGGGGTGGAGAGTTCTGTAGATGTCTATTAGGTCCACTTGGTGAGCTGAGTTCAATTCCTGGATATCCTTGTTAACTTTCTGTCTTGTTGATCTGTCTAAAGTTGACAGTGGGGTGTTAAAGTACCATTCCTTCTGAAACTATTCCAATCAATAGAAAAAGAAGGAATCCTCCCTAACTCATTTTATGAGGGCAGCATCATCCTGATACCAAAGCCAGGCAGAGACAAAACAAAAAAAGAGAATTTTAGACCAATATCCCTGATGAACATCAATGCAAAAATCCTGAATAATATACTTGCAAACCAAATCCAGAAGCACATCACAAAGCTTATCCGCCATGATCAAGTGGGCTTCATCCCTGGGATGCAAGGCTGGTTTAATATATGCAAATCAATAAACATAATCCAGCATATAAACAGAACCAATGACAAAAACCATATGATTATCTCAATAGATGCAGAAAAGGCCTTTGAAAAAATTCAACAACACTTCATGCTAAAAACTCTCAATAAATTAGGTATTGATGGGATGTATCTCAAAATAATAAGAGCTCCCTGTGACACACCCACAGCCAATATCATACTGAATGGGCAAAAACTGGAAGCATTCCCTTTGAAAACTGTTGCAAGACAGGGATGCCCTCTCTCACCACTCCTATTCAACATAGTGTTAGAAGTTCTGGCCGGGACAATCAGGCAAGAGAAGGAAATAAAGGGTATTCAATTAGGAAAAGAGGAAGTCAAATTGTCCCTGTTTGCAGATGACATGATTGTATATCTAGAAAACCCCATCATCTCAACTCAAAATGTCCTTAAGCTGATAGGCAACTTCAGCAAAGTCTCAGGATACAAAATCAATGTGCAAAAATCACAAACTCCCATTCACAATTGCTTCAAAGAGAATAAAATACCTAGGAATCCAACTTACAAGGGATGTGAAGGACCTCTTCAAGGAGAACTACAAACCACTGCTCAATGAAATAAAAGAGGATACAAACAAATGGAAGAACACTCCATGCTCATGGGTAGGAAGAATCAATATCCTGAAAATGGCCATACTGCCCAAGGTAAATTATAGATTCAATGCCATCCCCATCAATGTACCAATGACTTTCTTCACAGAATTGGAAAAAACTACTTTAAAGTTCATATGGAACCAAAAAAGGGCCCACATTGCCAAGTCAATCCTAAGCCAAAAGAGCAAAGCTGGAGGCATCACACTACCTGACTTCAAACTATACTACAAGGCTACAGTAACCAAAACAGCATGGTCCTGGTACCAAAACAGAGATATAGAGCAATGGAACAGAACAGAGCCCTCAGAAATAATGCCACGTATCTACAAACATCTGATCTTTGACAAACCTGACAAAAACAAGAAATGGGGAAAGGATTCCCTATTTAATAAATGGTGCTGGGAAAACTGGCTAGCCATATGTAGAAAGCTGAAACTGGATCCCTTCCTTACATCTTATACAAAAATTAATTCAAGATGGATTAAAGACTTAAACGTTAGACCTAAAACCTTAAAAACCCTAGAAGAAAACCTAGGCAATACCATTCAGGACATAGGCATGGGCAAGGACTTCATGTCTAAAATACCAAAAGCAATGGCAACAAAAGCCATAATTGACAAATGGGATCTAATTAAACTAAAGAGCTTCTGCACAGCAAAAGAAACTACCATCAGAGTGAACAGGCAACCTACAAAATGGGAGAAAATTATTGCAATCTACTCATCTGACAAAGGGCTAACACCCAGAATCTACAATGAACTCAAACAAATTTACAAGAAAAAAACAAACAACCCCATCAAAAAGTGGACGAAGGACATGAACAGACACTTCTCAAAAGAAGACATTTATGCAACCAAAAGACACATGGAAAAATGCTCATCATCACTTGCCATCAGAGAAATGCAAATCAAAACCACAATGAGATACCATCTCACACCAGTTAGAATGGCAATCATTAAAAAGTCAGGAACCAACAGGTGCTGGAGAGGATGTGGAGAAATAGGAACACATTTACAGTGTTGGTGGGACTATAAACTAGTTCAACCATTGTGCAAGTCAGTGTGGCGATTCCTCAGGGATCTGGAACTAGAAATATCATTTGACCCAGCAATCCCTTTACTGGATATATACCCAAAGGATTATAAATCATGCTGCTATAAAGACACATGCACACATATGTTTATTGCGGCACTATTCACAATAGCAAAGACTTGGAACCAACCCAAATGCCCAACAATGATAGACTGGATTAAGAAAATGTGGCACATATACACCATGGAATACTATGCAGCCATAAAAAATGATGAGTTCATGTCCTTTGTAGGGACATGGATGAGTCTGGAAACCATCATTCTCAGCAAACTATCGCAAGGACAAAAAACCAAACACTGCATGTTCTCACTCATAGGTGGGAGTTGAACAATGAGAACACATGGACACAGGAAGGGTAATATCACACACCGGGGCCTGTTGTGGGGTGGGGGGAGTGGGGAGGGATTGCATTTGGAGATATACCTAATGTTAAATGACGAGTTAATGGGTGCAGTACACCAACATGACACATGTATACATATGTAACTAACCTGCACGTTGTGCACATGTATCCTAAAACTTAAAGTATAATAAAAATAAAAAATAAAAAAATAAAAAAACAGAAGTCAACTCAAGATGGAATAAAAATGTAAATGTATGACCTGATCTTCAAAAAGACTAGAAGAAAGCCTTGGGAAATCTCTTGTGAACTTTTATCTAGGTGAATAATAGATGACTAAGTTCTCAAGCACAAGCAATAAAAAACAAAATAGAAAAATATAACTAAATTAAACTCAAATGTTGCACAGCAAGAAAAATAATATGTAGACTGAACAGACAACCTGAAGAATTGGAGAAAATATTTGCAAATTATGCATATGGCAAGAGTCAAATATCCAAAGTACACGAGATACTCAAATGACTCAACAGGAACAGCAAAATAAAATAAACAGCCCCATTAAAAAGGAGGCAAGGAATATGAATAGACACTTGTCAAAAGAAGACATACAATGGCCAACATGTGTATTAAAGAAACTCCACATAACTAATTGTCAGAGAAATGCAAATTAAAACCACAATAAGATATCATCTTACCCCAGTCAGAATGGCTATCACTAAAAATGTCAAATATAACTGATGTTAGCAAGGCTATAGAGGTAAGGGAACTCTTATACACTGTTGGTAGGAAGGTAAATTATTACAACCATTGTGAAAAATAATATAGAGGTTTCTTGAAGAGCTAAATATAGAACTACAGTTTGTTCTAGCAGTCTGACTCGTGAGTATCTACCCAAAGGAAAATAAATCAATATAGGAGATAGAGCAAGATGCCTGAATAGAACATTTCAGTGATCATTTTCCCCACAAGAACACTGTATTGAACAACTATTCACAAAAGAAAGTACCATCATAAGTTGCAGAACTCAGGAGTATAACCACAGTGCCTGGTTTTTACATTATATCAAACAGAAGCATTGAAAGAGGTAGGTAAGACAGTCTTAAATTGCCTACACTGCCTCCTCCTATTCCCTGTCAATGCTGTGTGGCATGGAGAAAGAATCTGTGTGTTTGGGAAAGTGAGAGCAAAGTGATTGGAGGACCTTGGGTTGGAATTCAGGGCTGCCTGTCACAGCCAAACTCTTTCCATTTGAGGGGAGAAAAAAAGGGAAGATAATGAGGACTTTGTATTGCAACTGGGACACCAGCTCAGCCACACTAAAATAATGCACCACATAGAGTTCTGAAGTCCTGATTCCAGGCCCTAGTTCCCAGAAGACATCATCTACTGACTAAGGAGCCCATCATCCTTGAATAAACATTGGCAGTTTCTAGGCAGTAGTCACCACAGGCCTGAGAAGACTGTGGAAATTGAAAGAAACTCCTTCTGCTTATGTAAAGGAGGGAGAAAAGTAAAGATGACTTTGTCTTACAACTTGGGTACCAGCTCAACCACAGTAAAATAATGCAATAAGTAGATTGTGAAAACCCCTGATTCCAGGCGCTATCTCTTGAATGGCATTTCTAGATCTATCCTAGGCCACAAAGAAACCTGCTGCCCTGAAAGGAAAGGCCCAGTACTGGAAGGATTCCTCAGTCATCGCCATAGGACTTGGGTAAGATTCAGTAAACTGCTGGCTTAAGGTATGACCCAACGTAATCACAGAGGTGGTGGCCACAAGAAAGCCTGCATTATTCCTACCCAACTTCAGGCAGCTTAGCACAGAAGAGAGACTAAATATTTTTGAGGAAAACTAAGAGAAAAGAACAACAACAACAAAAATCTGTCAGGTAATCCAGGGAATTCTGGATCTTACCCAACACCACCAAGGCAGTACTTTAATAAGTCTCCGAGAGTCACAGCATTACTGGGTTTGTGGCTTGGCCCTAATGCAGATATAGTTGCAGTGGCAAAAAAAAAGGTAGATCATAATACTCAAATCTCTGAATACCTGATAAGCCTTCTATAAAAGGACAGAAACAAAAATGCCCAGGCTTCAAATATTAGAATACATAACAGATTCTTCAGTGTCCGGGTCTTATAAGCATCAAGACCATCCAGGAAAACATAACAGAACTTAACATGTAGAAGAAAGAATTAGTTAGATTGCAGACAGGCTATGTGAAAATACAGAGTCAGAGGAGACAAAAGAAAAAAATTAAAAAATGAAGCACAGCTACAAGATATAGAAAATAGCCTAAACTCGACAAATCTAAGATTAACTAATCTCAAAGAGGAGGTAGAGAAAGAGTTTGGCATTGGCATAGGCAATGTAGTGGCAATGGCATAGGCATAGAAACTATATGCAAAGAGGTAATAACAGATAATTTCAAAACCTAGAGAAAGATATGAATGTTCAAAAACAAGAAGGTTGTAAAACACTAACTAGATTAAATTTACTTAAGAATACCTCAAGAAATAGTGTCAACAGGATTGCTACAATTTCTTCTTTGAAAGTCTGCTAGAATTCTGCCATGACTCCATCTGTTCCTCGACTTTTTTTGTTGGTAATTTTTTATTAAAATTTCAATCTCACTGCTTGTTATTGGTCTGTGCAGGGTATTTATTTATTCCTGATTTAACCTAGTTTATGTGCCTAAAGGCGTTCATAGTATCCTTGTAGGATCTTTTATATTTCTGTGGTGTCAGTTGTAATATCTTCTATTTTGTTTCTAATTGAGTTTATTTGGATTATTTCTCTACTTTTTTTGGATAATCTTGCTAGTGGTCTATCAATTTATTTATCTTTTCAAAGAACCAGCTTATTGTTTCATTTATCTTTTGTACTTTTTTAAAAAAATTCACTTAGTTCTGCTCTGATCTTGGTTATTTCATTTTGTCTGCTGGGTTTGGTTTTGTGTTATCCTTGTTTCTCTAGTTCCTTGAGGTGTGATTTCATTTTTGACAGAATGATCATTCACGAGCAGGTTATTTTATTTCCATCTATTTGCATGGTTTTCAAGGTTACTTTTGGAGTTGATTTCTAGTTTTATTCCACCGTGGTCTGAGAGAGTGCTTAATATAATTTCAATTTTTTAAAACTGAGGTTTGTTTTGTGGCCTATAATATGGTCTATCTTGGAGAAAGTTATATGCACTGATGAATAGAATATATATTCTGGGTTTTTTGGATAGAATTTTCTGTATATACCTGTTAAGTCCATTTGTTCCAGGGTATAGTTTAAATCTATTGTTTCTTTGTGTTTTGATAACCTGTCTAGTACTGTAAGTGAAGTATTGAAGTCCCCAACTATTATTGTGTTGCTGTCTATCTCATTTCTTAGGTCTATTAGTACTCGTTTTATGAATTTGGAAGCCCCAGTGTTAAATGCATAGATATTTAGGATTGTGATATTTTCCTATTGGACAAGGTCTTCTATCATTATATAATGTCACTTTTTCGTTTTTTAACTGCTGTTGCTTTAAAGTTTTTTTTTTGTCTCATATAAAAATAGCTACTCCTTCTTGCTTTTGGTGTTGATTTGCATGGAATGTCTTTTTCCACCTTTTTACCTTAAGTTTATGTGAGTCATTTTGTGGCAGGTGAGACTCTTGAAAGCAGCAGATAGTTGGTTGGGAAATTCTTGTTCATTCTGCAATTCTGGAAGGAAGGAAGGAAGGAAGATGGGAGGGAGGGAGGGAGGGAAAGAGGGAGGGAAAGAAGGAAGGAAGGAAGGAAAGGAGGAAGGAAGCATGGAAGAAAGGAAGGAAGGAAGATGGGAGGGAGGGAGAGAAAGAGGGAGGGAAAGAAGGAAGGAAGGAAGAGGAAGGAAAAATAGTGTAAAAATAATGCTTTATTTGAAATCCAAACAACAAACTTATACATTTGTATTAAATCATTATATTCTATCTAATAACCAACTTAATTATGTAACATTGTTTTCAAATATTGAAAACAATGGAATTAGTATCTGCTAGATTTAAGTGAAAGAGCTTTGGAAATGTATATTTAATCAATTATAAAAAAGAAAAATATGTCCAAAAATGCTTCTGTCCGATTAAGAAATACCATTACATAGAGTAACTTCTAATACATTAATTCCAAACTATCTTTAAGTATTGCTTGACATTATACATAATAAATCTGTGCTAAAAAAGTCTCCAATGTCCAAGAACTTGTATAATATTGAAATGGGCTCAATGTAATAAGAGAAAGAGCAATTTAAATTTCAACACTCAGAAGTCCAAGCCTACTGAGAAAACAACTTATTAGTAAACATCAAATGCTTCCTACAGAGAAACAATTTATTTCCCACAGAGAAAACAACATATGAACAGAAACCTCACTAAATACACAATCTGGTTCTAAGGAGCAGATGCTGATCAATAATTCAATATCTAAAATCAAATAATGAGGGAGTAATGGTAAACATTTATTTATGAAGTAGTAAATTGTGTCTTTGTCTTTCATGTCTAAAAAACAGAAATCTCTACAACATATGCTGTTTCCCTGTTTTCATACAAAATATACATTTAGTAAATTGGAGAGTAATTGTCAACAAAGTGAAATACATTTAAATATATATTATTCACTGCAGGGAGTATTTTCATTAAGAAGAAACTCAATTATTACTTATAATTTACTAACCTGATTGGTAGTAAAATTACTTTTCTGCTAACTCCACCAAGTAATAAACAGGTGAAGTCTGAACACGGAAGAGGGAAGCAGAATATTTTAATTTTGTCTTTCTAGCAATAAGGGCATTAATACATGCCATTTATCATAATTGGTGATACAGTTTTTACTGTTTCTTTCCATGTATTTTTATCTCAAGCTATATTTTGTAGTTGTGTAAAATAATTTAAAACCATGGCCATTAGAGGTAAACCATGTATTACCTCTAATACAATAGGTAATTAAAATACAAGGTGCTGGTCTTGACTTTCTCCAATCTTTGCATGGAAAATTTAACCAATCTGTAAATCTTACACTACAAAACAAACAAACAAACAAAAGCACCCTAATTTACTGATCATGTCTCCACTTTGCAGAGTAGAATGTTCTTGGTTGGCTAGAATCATTCCATAAATATTTATTAAGAACCTATTATGTGCCAGATAGTGGCAGTGTTCAAGTCCACTGAGATATATAAGAGATTACATGTACCACACTGCATAAAGATGCTTCCCCAGGTAGGGTTAACAGTCTAATACAGAAAATAAATAAATAAATACATATAGCAAGCAAGAAGACTTTGTATTATGTTATAAGTTGATAGCGCAAATGGAAAAACGGTATAGTAGGGGTGTTTGTTGTGAGGCAGGAAACAATTTGTTGCATTTTCATTTGGTACAATGTATAATGTCATTGAGGAGGTTCAAAGATGATTGAGATAGACATTCCAAGTATAGAAGTTTATTCCGTGTAAAGGAATAGTCAGAGCACAAATGTAAGTATGCATGAAGTATTAAAACCTTGGGTCCATCATGGTTAGAACCAAGAATACATGGGAAAAAGTATTATGAAATAACATTATTGAAGTAAATAATGGTGAAATTAGGCAAAGTATTGTAGTCTTTTTTTTTTTTTTTTTTTTTTTGAGACGGAGTCTCGCTCTGTTGCCCAGGCCGGACTGCGGACTGCAGTGGCGCAATCTCGGCTCACTGCAAGCTCCGCCTCCCGGGTTCACGCCATTCTCCTGCCTCAGCCTCCCGAGTAGCTGGGACTACAGGCGCCCGCCACCGCGCCCAGCTAATTTTCTGTATTTTTAGTAGAGATGGGGTTTCACCTTGTTAGCCAGGATGGTCTCGATCTCCCGACCTCATGATCCACCCGCCTCGGCCTCCCAAAGAGCTGGGATTACAGGCGTGAGCCACCGCGCCCGGCCGTATTGTAGTCTTTTTAATGACTTTTTTTCTGAGTTAAACCGGAAACTATTGTAGGATTTTGAAAAGAGACTACCATGATCTGACTCACTGTTTTTTTGTTTGTTTTGTTTTTGTTTTTTTGTTTGTTTGAGACACAGTCTTGCTCTGTCACCAAGCTGGAGTGCAGTGGGGCGATCTCGGTTCATTTGCAACCTTCACTTCCCAGGTTCAAGTAATTCTCCTGCCTCAGCCTCCCAAGTAGCTGGGACTACAGGTGTGTGCCACCAAGCCCAGAAATTTTTTGTATTTTTTAATAGAGATGGGGTCTCACCATGTTGGCCAGGGTAGTTTTGATCTCTTCACTTCATGATCTGCCCACCTCGACCTCTGAAAGTGCTGGGATTACAGGCATGAGCCACTGTGCCCAGCATGTGCTTTTTTGAGGGTGTGTGTTTGTTTGGGTTTTTATTTTTTTTAAACACATTAAAAACTTGATACTATGTGGAGAAGATTATGTACGGACAAGGGTTGAAGAAAGTACTGTTTGCTAGTAGGCTATTTCAGGCAATTAGGTGAATGGTAATTGTGTTTCGTCAGATTTGTAACAGTGGGAATAGTGCAATGAAGTCACTATGTATATATATTGTGTATATATTATGTATATTGTCATGCATTTATAAATATTTATAAATTATACATATGTATTAAAAGTCAAAAATTGCTTTTGGAATTTTTAATTATTAATTAATTTTAAAAAGTTTTGGTGGGTACATAGTAGGTGTCTATATTTATGGGGTTCTTGAGATGTTTTGATATAAGCATTTGATGTGAAATAAGCACATCATGGAGACTAGGGTCTCCATCTCCTCAAGCATTTATCCTTTAAGTTAAAAACAATCCTATTACGTACTTTAACTTATTTTGAAATATACAATTAAGTTATTATTGTCTATAGTCACCATATTGTGCTTTCAGACTGTAGGTTTTATTCATTCTTTCTATTTTTGTACCCATTAAACATCCATGCCTCCCCTCAAAATCCCCACTACCTTTTCCAGGCTCTGGTAACCACCCTTCTACTTTTTATTTCCATTAGTTCAATTGATTTAATTTTGGGATCTCACAAATAAGTGAGAACATGTAATGTTTGTATTTTTATGACTGGCTTATTTCACTTAACATTATGATATCCAGTTCCAACCATGCTTTTGCAAATGACAGAATCTCATTCACTTTTGTGGGTGAATAGTACTCTACTGTGTATATGTACCATATTTCCTTTATACATTCATCTGTTCATGGACACTTAGGTTGCTTCCAAATCTTAGCTATTGTAAACAGTGCTGCAGCAAATATGACTGCAGATAGCTCTTCAATATGATGATTTCCTTTCTTTGGGGTATGTACCCAGCAGTGGTATTTCTGAACCATATGTTAGCTCAATTTTTAGATTTTGAGGAACCTCCAAACTATTATCCATAGTAGTTGTGCTAAATTTCATTTCCATCAACAGTGTACAAGTGTTCCCTTTTCTCCACATACTCATCAGCATTCATTATTGCCTGTCATTTGGATATAGACCATTTTAACTCAGGTGATATCATATCTTTTTGAAGTTGTGATTTGCATTTCTCTTACAATCATTGATTTTGGGCACTTTTGCATATGCTTGTTTGCCATTTGTATGTGTTCTCTTGAAAAATGTCTATTTGAATCTTTTGCCCATTTTGATTGAACTTCTAGATTTTTTTCTATAGAGTTGTTAGTGCTCCTTATGTATTCTGGTGATTAATCCCTTGTCAGGGGGGTAGTTTGCAAACATTTTCTCCCATTCTGTGGGTTGTCTCTTCACTTTTTCGATTATATCATTTGCTGTGTGAAAGCTTTTTAACTTGTTGGCATCTTGTTTTTCCATATTTGCTTTGGTTGCCTGTGTTTGTGGGATATTGCTCAAAAAATCTTTGCCCAGATTAATGTCCTGCAGATTTTCCCCAGTGTATTATTGTAATATTTTTGTAGTTTGAGGTTTATATTTGAGATGTTAATCAAATTTGATTTTATTCTTGTATAAAGCAAGAGATAGTGGTCCAGTTTTATTCCATTGCTTATGGCTATCCAGTTTTCCCAGCACTATTTATTAAAGAAACTGTTTTTACCCAGTGCATATTCTTGTCAACTTTGTCAAAAATGTGTTCACTGTAGGTATGAATTTGTTTTTGGCTTCTCTATTCTGTTCCATTGGTCTATATGTCTGTTTTTATTCTGTTCCATTCTGTTCCATTGGTCTATATGTCTGTTTTGGTTACTATAGTTCTATAGTAACTATACTATACTATAGTTCTATAGTATAATTTGAAGTCAGGTAATTTGATTTTTGCGGTGTTTGCTTGTTTGTTTGTTTTGCTTATAGGTATTCAGGGTTCGTTGTGGTTCCATATAAATGTTAGGGTTGTTTTCTCTACTTATGTGAAGAATGTCATTGGTATTTTGATAGGGATTGCATTGAATCTATACATCGCTTTGGGTAGTATGGACAATTCACAATATTGATTCTTCCAGTTTATGAACATGGAATATTTTTTCCATTTTTGATGACCTCTTCACTTTTCTTTATTAATGATATATAGTTTTTATTATAGAGATTATTCACTCCTTTGGTTATTTTCTAAATATTTAATTTTAAGTGTGGCTATTATAAATTGCATTACTTTTTTTCTTTCTTTTTCACATTGTTCACTGTTGGCATATAGAAATGCTACTAATTGCTGTATGTTGATTTTGTATTATGCAATGTTACTGAATTTGTTTACCACTTTTAGTAGTTACCTTGTGAAATCTTTACGTTTTCTCAAATATAAAATCGTATCATCTACAAACAATGACAATTTGACATTTTTTTGTCAAATTTAGATGCCCTTTGAATCTTTATCTTGTCTGGTTGCTCTATCTAGAATTTCCAGAGTTATGCTGAACAACAGTGGTGACATTGGACATCCTCATTAACTTCCATGTCTTAGAAGGAAGGTTTTCAAGTTTTCCTTATTTAGTATGATACTAGCTGTGGGTCTGCCATATACAGCTTTTATTATTTTGAATTATGTCCTTCTATACCCAGTTTGATGAGGGTTTTTTATCATGAAGAGATGTTGAATTTTATCAAATGCTTTTCCAGCATCAATGGAAATTATAATATGATTTTTATTCTTCATTCTGTTGATATGATGTATCATGTTGATTAATTTGCAAATATTGAAACATCCTTGCATCCCAGAAATAAATACCATTTGGTCATGATTAATAATCTTTGAAATGTATTGTTGAATTTGATTTGCTAGGTTTTTTGTTTGTTTGTTTTGTTTTAGGATATTCACATCAGTATTTATCGGAGATATTGGCCTGTAATGAATGTTATTGCTGTTGTTGTTTTGACACGTTTTTGTCTGATTTTGCTGTCAGAGTAATACTAGCCTCAGAGAATGAGTTTGGAAATATTCCCTCCTTTATTTTTTGTAATAATTTGAGTAAGATTTATATCAATTCTTATTTAAGTGTTTTTTAGAAATCGTCAGTGAAGCCAGTAGGTCTCAGAAATTTCTTTATTGAAAGATGGTTTATTACAGCTTTGAATTTGTTATTGGTTACTGGCTTTTTCAGGTTTTTAATTTTTTCCTGGTTCAATCTTGGTAGATGGTGTGTGTCTAAGAATTCGTTTATTTCTTCTAGAGTTTCCAATTTATTGGCATATAGTTGCTCATAGTAGCCACCAATGAGCCTTTGAATTTCTGCACTATCAGTTGTAATGTGTGCCTTTTCATTTCGGGATTTATTTATTTAGATATTCAATCTTTCTTTCTTAGTCTGGCTTAAGGTTTGTCAATTTTGTTTAAATTTTCAAAAAACATCTTTTGATTTTATGGATTTTTTATTTCAATTTTATTTATTTCTGCTCTAATCTTTATCATTTTTTTCCTACTAAGTTTGCTCTTGCTTTTCTATTTCTAAAGATGAGTTGTTGGATTGTTTATTTGAAGCTCTTCTGTTTTTTCGATGTAGGTACTTGTAACTATAAACTTCCCTCTGAATACTGCTTTTGCTCTATCCCATAGGTTTTGATATTTTTTTCATTATCATTTATTTCAATAAATTTTTTATCGGCTTCTTAATTTCTTTATTGACCTACTGCTAATTTAAAAGCATATGGTTTAATTTCCTTGCATTTGTGTAGTTTCCTAAATATTTATTGTTACTAATTTTTAGTTTCATTTCATCATGGTCAAGGATGATGCTGCATATTATTTCAATTTTGTAGAGTAGTTTAATACTTGTTTGGTAACCTAACATATGGTCTATCCTTGAGAATGGTCCATGCACTGAGAAAAATACTGTGTATTTGTATCTCTTGGATGAACTCTCCTGTAAATATTTGTTAGATCCATTTGGTCTATAGTGCAGATTAAGTCTGATGTTCTTTTGTTTATTTTCTGTTTGGAAGATTGCCCATTGCTGAAAATGGGGTGTTAAAGCTTTCAGCTATTATTGTATTTGGGCCTATCTCTTTCTTTAGCACTAATAATATTTACTTCCTGTATTTGTGTGGTCCCATGTTGGGTGCATATATATTTAAAATTGTAATATCTTCTTCCTGAATTGACCCCTTTATCATTATATAGTGACCTTCATTGTCTCTTATAGTTTTTGTCTTGAATTCTGTGTTGTCTGTGCTTTTTTGGTTTCCATTGGCATGGAATATCTTTTTTTCATTTGTTTATTTTTAATGTATGTGTGTCTTTATGGGTGAAGTGTGTTTCTTGTGGACAACAGATCAATGGATCTCATTTTTTCATGCATTTAGCCGGTCTATGTCTTTTGATTGGAAAATTTAGTTCATTTACATTTAATGTTATTATCGATAAGAACTTACTCCTGCCATTTTATTTTCTGTTTCTTTTGTGGTCTCTTTCTTTTTTTCATTTCTATCTTCTCTAGTGAAAATGATTTTCTTGGTGAGATGATTTAGTTTCTTGCTTTTTATGTGTTACATATCCATTGTATGTTTTTTGGGTTGAGGTTACCATGAGGCTTACAAATACTATCCTATAACCCATTATTTTAACCAGATAAAAACTTTTCACTATTTGCATAAACAAGCAAGAATCAAAAAGGAAACTTATGAAGAGTCTTCTTAACTGTTTCCAACTTTTTAACTTTTTATTGTTTCTATTTATATCTTTCATACTATGTCTTGAAAAATTATTGTAGTTACTATTTTTAATTGATTCATTGTTTATTGTTTATTCTTTATAATTAGGATAAACATAGTTTATACCCCACAGTTACAATGTTATAATATTCTGTGTTTTTATGTATACTTACTGTCACGGATAAGGTTTTTTAACCTTTATGTGATTATTTATTCTTCATTAATGTTCGTTTCTTTCTGATTGAAGTACTCACTTTAGGACTTTTTTTGTAGAATGAGTTTTGGTCTGGTATTTATGAAATCCCTCAGATTTTGTTTGTCTGGAAATGTCTTTATTTCTTATTCATGTTTGAAGGATATTTTTGTTGGATATACTATTCAGGTGTTAAAGTATTTTTTCTTTAGCACCTTGAATATGTCATGCCACTCTGTCCTGGCCTGTAAGGTTTTCTCTGAAAAGTCTGCTGCCAGATGTATTAGAGCTCCATTTCATATTATCAGCTTGTATTATTTCGCTGCTTTTAGGATTTTTTTTTATCATTGATCTTTGGGAGTCTTATTATTAAATACTTTGAGTTACTTTTGTTGGGGTTAAATCTGCTTGGTGTTTTATAATCTTCTTGTACTTGGATATTGATATATTTCTCTAGCTTTGGGAAGTTCTCTGTCATTATCCATTTGAATAAACTTACTATCCCTATCTTTTTATTTACCTCCTCTTTAAAGCCAGTAATTCTTAGATTTGCTTGTTCTAGTCTATTTTGTAGATATTGTAGGTGTGTTTTATTGTTTTTTTTTCTTTTGTCTCCTCTGACTGTATATTTTCAAATAGCCTGTCTTAGAGTTCACACATTCTTTCTTCTGCTTGATCTATTCTGCTATTACAGGACTCTGATGGATTATTCAGTATAGCAATTGCATTTTCAGCTCCAGAATTTCTGCTTGATTCCTTTTAATTATTTCAATATATTTGATAATTTTGTCTGATAGAATTCTGAATTCCTTCTCTGTGTTATCTCGAATTTCTTTATTTCCTTAACACAGCTATTTTGAATTCTGTGTCTGAAAGGTCACATATTTGTTGCTCCAGAATTGTTCTCTTATACCTTATTTAGTGACCTATATGTTGAGACCATGTTTTCCTGAATGGTGTTGAGGGTAGCAGATGTTCTTTGATGTCTGGCCATTGAAGAGTTAGGTATTTATTGTAGTCTTCACTGTCTAAGCTTATTTGTAGTTATTTTTCTTGGGAATGCTTTACGTGATGTGATCTAAGCTGTTTATGCTTTAGGGGGCACCCAAAGCCCAGTAACACTGTGGTTTTGCAGACTCATAGAGGTACCATATTAATGATCTTGAATAAGGTCTGGGAGCATTTTCTGGATTACCAGGCACAGTCCCTTGTTTCTTCTCTCAACCATAAAGAGCTCCCCGCCCCCCCGCCTTCTCTCTCTCTCTCTCTTTGTTCTGAGTCACTTAAAGTTGTAGGTGGAGTGACATAAACACCTCTGTAGCCATCACCACTATGACTGCACTGGGTCAGAGATGAAGCCAACATAGCTCTGTGTCTCACCCAAGGCCTGCTGTAACCACTCCCTGGTACTGCCTGTGTTCACTCAAGGTCCCGGGGCTCTACAATCAGCAAGTACCAAAGCCAGCCAGGCTGATGTTTTTCCCTTCGGGGCAATGAGGTCCCGCAGGACATGGGTGGGCCCTGAAATACCATCAGGACTCAGGGCCTAGGATAGAAAAACTTAAGAGTCTCCCTGGTTTTCTATTGTGTTGGGACTGAGCTGGCACTCAAACTGCAACATGCAGTTCTTCCCATTCTTCTCTCCCCTTTCTACAGACAGAGGAACCTCACTTCATAGCCAACACCCACTCTGGCCACAGGGATTAGTACCAGACTACCACCAATGTCCTCTTAAGGCCCAAGGTCTCCGAAGTCAGTTTGTGGTGAATCCTTCCTGGCCTGGTACTCACCCTTCAGGGTAGTGGGCACCTCTTTGGTCCAGGGCAGGTCACGAAATGCCATCCAAGAGTCAAGTCCTGGAACCAGGAACCCCAAAGCCACCTTTGTACTCTACCCCCCATGGTGGTATTGGTAACTTAGGTGCAAGGCAAAATTCCCTTTTACTTTTCCTTCTGCTTCTCTCAATCAGAAGGAGTTTTGCCCCATAACCACCACAGCTGGTAACCTGAAGTCAGAAAGTCTCAGAGGCTCACCAAGGCCCTTGATGTAGTACCTGGGAATACCTGGGTCTCCTCACATAGCAGGTGATAAATGCTGGCAGGTCTGGGTCCTTTCCTTCAAGGCAATGGCATCCCTTCTGGCCCAGAGTGTATCTAGAAATGTTATCTGGGAGATGGGGCCTGGAATGGGGGCCTCACAACTCCAACTGTTGCCCTGTCTTGCTGTGGCTGAGCTGTTATCTAGATGTATAAAAAAGTCCTCTCCACTTTTCCCTCTCCTCTCCCTAAGCAGAAGACAGGGGTCTCTTTTGGAGCCTTATGTTGTGCAGCTTGAGTCTAGGGAATGGGTGATGCCAGCAATCCCTTGGCTGCCACAGCTGGTGTCTCAGTATGTCGTGTCCCCCGACCCTCAGTCCATTGTCTATGGGCCTAGTACAGCCCTAGAATTCAACTATATGTTGCAGTCCTTATGGCCTCGACTGCATTTCAGGTTTACTTAGAGGCTGAGATTATTTTGACCCTTCGTGGCAAGGTTTGAGCACTCAAATCTGGACCACTTGTATCAGCAATTGCTCTCTGACTAGGGATGGTTTAAATGCTCCCGTTGTGGGCAAGCACCTGTTGAGTTTGGTCTGGTTTATGTTTCCGCTTTAACAGGACAGCATTGAATTCAGAGCCTCACAATTGCTGTGTTCTACTTCGCCTAGCAACCAGAGATGATCCCTGCAACATGCTGCTGTTGCTGGGAGTGGGAAAGAGGTGGCATCGGCGGTTCAAGACTGAGTTTTCTATCTCTTCAGTGCCTCTTTCAACAATGAAGATCAAACCAGGTACTGAGGTAGTGGGAGTGCTCATCTAGTTTTTGGCTTTTAGTAAGTTGTTTTTTCTCCATAGATAGTCATTAATTTGGTGTGCTTGATGGGAGGCTGATTAGTGGAACTTTCTATTCTGCCATCTTGCTCTGCATCCAGCCCCTACTTTTGGATTAGATGTCTGGTATGTGAGATAAAAATACCTAAATGACCCTAAGATCTTGTCTGAGTTACTGGATGGACGAACATAATGTCAACAATGTTAGGAAAGAAATACGAGTTTCAGGTTTCAACATGTTAAATTTGCTCTTTAATTCAGAGGTTGAGTAAGTATTTGATTATGTATTAGAAGTTTAGGAAGCATTCTGGAGTACTTCTTTAATAAAAAGATACTCCTTTGATTGTTCTTCAATAAGCCTGTTCTTTAACCAGGTACTGTGTTTATAGTACAAGTCAGTGTTACATTCAAAGTTTAAATATGTATGATATTTTATTCTGGATAAAATAATGCAAATTTAATATATCATATGAAAGTGTGCTTCTCACTTAGTTTTTTTTAAAATTATAACTGAAGTTCTGAGATACATGTTCAGAACATGCAGGTTTGTTACATAAGTATACACGTGCCATGCTGGTTTGCTGCACCCATCAACCTGTCATCTACATTAGGTATTTCTCCTAATGTTATCCCTCCCCTAGCCTCCCACCCCACAACAGGCTCCGTTGTGTGAAGCTCCCCTCCCTGTGTCCATGGTTCTCACTGTTCATCTCCCACTTATGATTGAGAACACGTGGTGTTTGGTTTTCTGTTCTTGTGTTAGTTTGCTGAGGATGATGGTGTCTACCTTCAGACATGTCGCTGCAAAATACATGATCTCATTCCTTTTTATGGCCGCCTATTATTCCATGGTGTATATGTAGCACATTTTCTTTATCTAGTCTGTCATTGATGGGCATTTGGGTTTGTTCCAAGTCTTTGCTATTGTGAACAGTGCTGCAATAAACATACGTGTGCATGTGTCTTTATAGTAGAATGGTTTATAATCCTTTGGGTGTATACCCATTAATGGGATTGCTGAGTCAAATGGTATTTCTGATTCTAGATCCTTGAGGAATTGCCACAGTTTTCCACAATAGTTGAATTAATTTACACTCCCACCAACATTGTAAAAGTGTTCCTGTTTCTTCATGTTCTCTCCAGCATCTGTTGTTTCCTGACTTTTGAATAATCGCCATTCTAACTGGTGTGAGATGGTATCTCATTGTGGTTTTGATTTGCATTTCTCTAATGACCAATGATGATGAGCTTTTTTTCATATATTTTTTGGCCGCATACATGTCTTCTTTTGAGGAGTGTTTGTTCATATCTTTTGCCCACTTTTTGATGGGATTGTTTGCTTTTTTCTTGTAAATTTGTTTAACTTCCTGGTAGATTCTGGATATTAGCCTTTTGTCAGATGGATAGACTGAAAAAGTATTCTCCCATTCTGTAGGTTGCCTGCTCACACTGATGATAGTTTCTTTTGGAGTGCAGAAGCTTTTAGTTTAATTAGCTCCCATTTGTCAATCTTGGCTTTTGTTGACATTGCTTTTGGTGTTTTAGTTATGAATTCTTTGCCTATGCCTGTGTCCTGAATAGTATTGCCTAGGTTTTCTTTTAGGGTTTTTATGGTTTTAGGTCAAAGATGTAAGTCTTTAATCCATCTTGAGTTAATTTTTGTATAAGGTGTAAGGAAGTGGTCCAGTTTCAGTTTTCTGCATATGGCTAGCCAGTTTTTTCAACACCGTTTATTAAATAGGGAATCCTTTCCCCATTGCTTGTTTTTGTCAGGTTTGTCAAGGATCAAATGGCTGTAAATGTGTGGTGTTATTTCTGAGGCTTTGTTCTATACCATTGGTCTATATGTCTGTTTTGGTACTGGTATCATGCTGTTTTGGTTACTGTAGCCTTATAGTATAGTCTGAAGTCAGGTAGCATGCTGACTTCAGCTTTGTTCTTTTTGATTAAGATTGTCTCAGTTATACAGGCTCTTTTTTGGTTCCATGTAAAATTTAAAGTAGTTTTTTTCTAATTCTGTGGACAAAGTCAATGGTAGCTTAATAGGGATCGCATTGAATATATAAATTACTTTGAGCAGTGTGGCCATTTTCATGATATTGATTCTTCCTATCCATGAGCATGGAATGTTTTACATTTGTTTGTGTCCTCTTTTATTTCCTTGAGCTGTGGTTTGTAGTTCTCCTTGAAGAGATCCTTCACATCCCTTGTAAGTTGTATTCCTAGGTATTTTATTCTCTGTGTAGCAATTCTGAATGGGAGTTCACTCATGACTTGGCTCTCTGTTTGCCCATCATTTGTGTATAGAAATGCTTGTGATTTTTGCACATTAATTTTGTATCCTGAGACTTTGCTGAAATTGCTTATCAGCTTAAGGAGATTTTGAGATGAGACGATGGGGTTTTTTAAAATATACAATCATATCATCTGCAAACAGAGACAATTTGACTTCCTCTCTTCCTATTTGAATACGCTGTCTTTCGTTCTCTTGCCTAATTGCCCTGGCCAGAACTTCTAATACTATGTTGAATAAGAGTGGTGAGAGAGGGCATTGTTGTCCTGTACTGGTTTTCAAAGGGAATGCTTCCAGCTTTGACCCATTTGGTATGATATTGGCTGTGGGTTTGTCATAAATAGCTCTTAATATTTTGAGATATGTTCCATCAATACCTAGTTTATTGAGTGTTTTTAGCATGAAGGGGTGTTGAATTTTTATTGAAGGCCTTTTCTGCATCTTCTGAGAGATAATCATATGGTTTTTGTCATTGGTTCTTTTTATGAGATGGATTACGTTTATTGATAAGCATATGTTGAACAAGCCTTGCATCCCAGGGATGAAGTTTCTTGATCGTGGTGGATAACCTTTTTATTGTGCTGCTGAATTCAGTTTGCCAGTATTTTATTGAGGATTTTGCATCGACATTTATCAGGGATATTGGTCTGAAATTTTTGTTGTTGTTGTGTCTCTGCCAGGTTTTGGTATCAGGATGATGCTGACCTCATAAAATGAGTTAGGGAGGAGTTGCTCTTTATCTATTGTTTGGAATATTTTCAGGAGAAATGGTACCAGCTTCTCTTTGTACCTCTGGTAGCATTCAGCTGTGAATACATCTGGTCCTGGGATTCTTTTGGTTGGTAGGCTATTAATTACTGCCTCAGTTTCAGAACTTGATATTGGTCTCTTCAGGGATTTGACTTCTTCCTGGCTTAGTCTTGGAAGGGTGTATGTGTCCAGGAATTTATCAATTTCTTCCATATTTTCTTGTTTCTTTGTTTAGAGCTCTTTATAGTATTCTCTGATGATAGTTTGTATTTCTGTGGGATCTGTGGTGATATCCCCGTTATCATTTTTTATTGTGTCTATTTGATTCTTCTCTTTTTTCTTCTTTATTATTCTAGCTAGCAGTCTATGTATTTTGTTAATCTTCTCAAAAAAACAGCTTCCAGATTCATTGATTTTTTGAAGGGATTTTTGTGTCTCTATCTCCTTCAGTTCTACTCTGATCTTAGTTATTTCTTGTCTTCTGCTAGCTTTTGAATTTGTTTGCTATTGCTTCTCTAGTTCATTTAATTGTGATATTAGGGTGTTGATTTTAGATCACTCCTGCTTTCTCCTATGGGCATTTAGTGCTATAAATTGCAGTGTCCCAGAGAATTTTGTACATTGTGTTTTTGTTCTCATTGATTTCACATAACTTATTTCTGCTTTACTTTTGTTATTTACCCAGCAGACATTCAGAAGCAATTTGTTCAGTTTCCATGTACTTTTCATTTTTCAGTGAGTTTCTAAGTCCTGAGTCCTAATTTGTGATTGCACTGTGGTCTGAGAGACTTTTGTTATAATTTTTGTTCTTTTGAATTTGCTGAGGAGTGTTTTACTTCCCACTATGTAGTCAATTTTAGATTTAGTGTGATGTAGTGCTGAGATGAATGTCTATTCTGTTGATTTGGGGTGGTTAATTTTGTAGATGTTTATTAGGTCTGCTTAGTCCAGAGCTGAGTTCAAGTCCTGAATATCCTTGTTAATTTTCTGTCTTGTTAATCTGTCTAATATTAACAGTGGGGTGTTAAAGTCTCCTACTATTATTGTGTGGGAGTCTAAGTCTCTTTGTAGGTCTCTAAGAACTTGCTTTATGAATCTAGGTGCTCCTCTGTTGGGTGCATATATATTTAGGATAGTTAGCTCTTCTTGTTGCATTGATCCCTTTACCATTACGTAATGCCCTTCTTTTCTTTTTTGATCTTTGTTGATTTAAAATCCGTTTTATCAGAGTTTAGGATTGCAATGCCCCCCCCCTTTTTTTTTTTTTTTTTAGCTTTCCATTTGCTTGGTAAATGTTCCTCCCTCACTTTATGTTGAGGCTATGTGTGCCTTTGCATGTGAGATGAGTCTTCTGAATTCAACACACCGATGGGTCTTGACTCTATCCAGTTTTCCAGTCTGTGCCTTTTAATTGTGGCATTTAGATCATTTACATTTAAGGTTATTTTGCCCATTAGTTGATTCAGTTTCTTCATAGTGTCAATGGTCTTTACAATTTGGTATGGTTATTCAGTGTCTGGTACCCATTTTTTCTTTCTATATTTAGTTCCATATTGACCCCTACTCTCTTCTAGCTGGTAGGGTTTCTGCAGAGAAATCTGCTGTTAGTCTGACGGGCTTCCCTTTGTTGGTAACCCAACCTTTCTCTCTGACTGCCCTTAACATTTTTTCCTTCATTTCAACCTTGGTGAATCTGACCATTATGTGTCTTGGGGTTGCTCTTCTTGATGAGTACCTTTGTGGTGTTCTCTGCATTTGCTGAATTTGAATGTTGGCCTGTCTTGCTAGTTTGGGGAAGTTCTCCTGGATAATATCCTGAAGAGTGTTTTCCAACTTGATTCCGTTCTCCCTGTCACTTTCAGGTACACCAATCAAACATAAGTTTGGTCTTTTCACATAGTCCCATATTTCTTGGAGGCTTTTTTCTTTCCTTTCATTTTTTTTTCTAATCTTGTCTTTATGCTTTATTTCATTAAGTTGATCTTTAATATCTAATATTCTTTCTTCTGCTTGATTGATTTGGCGTTGATACTTGTGTGTGCTTCACAAAGTTCTCATGCTGAGTTTTTCAGCTCCTTCAGGTCATTTATGTTCCTTTCAAAGCTGGTTATTTTAGCTAGCAATTCCTCTAACCTTTTTTCAAGGTTCTTAGTTTCCTTGCATTGGGTTAGTATATGCTCCTTTAGCTCGGAGTAGTTTGTTATTACCCACGTTCTGAAGCCTACTTCTGTCAATCCGTCAAACTCATTCTCCATCCAGTTTTGTTCCCTTGCTGACAAGGAGTTGTGACCCTTTGGAAAAGAGGCATTCTGGTTTTTGGAATTTTCAGCCTTTTTGTGGTAGTTTTTCTTCATTCATGGTTTTATCTACCTTTGGTCTTTGATGTTGCTGACCTCAGGATGGGGTTTTTGTGTGAAGGTCCTTTTCATTGACGTCGATGATATTGCTTTCCTTTTGTTAGTTTTCCTTCTAAAAGCCAGGCCCGTCTGCTGCAGGTCTGCTGGATTTGCTTGAGGTCCACTCCAGACCCTGTTTGCGTGGGTATCACCAGCGGAGGCTGCAGAACAGCAACGATTGCTGCCTGCTTCTTCCTCTGGAAGCTTTGTCCCAGAGGGGCACATGCCAGATGCCAGCTGGAGCTCTCCTTTCTAAGTTATTTGTTGACCCCTGCTGTGGGGTGTCTTTCAGTCTGGAGGCACGGGATCAGGGACCCACTTGAGGAGGAAGTCTGTCCCTTAGCAGAGGTCAAGCACTGTGCTGGGAGATCTGCTGCTTTCTTCAGAGCCAGCAGGCAGGAACGTTTACATCTGCTGAAGTTGCACCCATGGCCGCCCCTTCCCCCAGCAGCTCTTTCTCAGGGAGTTGGGAGTTTTATCTATAAACCCATGACTGGGGCTGCTGCTTTTCTTTCACAGATGCCTTTCCAAGAGAGGAGGAATCTAGAGAGGCAGTCTGGCTACGTGTCTTTGCTGAGCTGTGGTGGGATCCCCACAGTTCAAACTTCCCAGTGGCTTTGTTTACAGTGTGAGGGAAAAACCTCCTGCTCAAGCCTTAGTAATGGCATTCATCCCTCCCCCTGCCTAGCTCAAGCATCCCAGGTCTACTTCAGACAGCTGTGCTGGCAGCGACAATTTCTAGCCAGGAGATCTTAGCTTGCTGGGCTACGTGGGGGTGGGATCCACTGAGCTAGACCACTTAGCTCTCTGGCTTTACACCCTTTTCAGGGGAGTGAATGGTTCTGTCTTGCTGGCATTCCAGGTACCACTGTGGTATGAAAAAAAAAAAAACAAAAAAAAAACAAAAAAAGAAACCTGCAGCTAGCTCGGTGTCTGCCTTATCAGCTGCCCAGTTTTGTGCTTGAAACCCAGGGCCCTGATGGTGTAGGCACCTGAGGGAATCTCATGGTCTGCAGGTTGTGAAGACCATGGGAAAAGTGTAGTATCTGGGCTGGAATGTACCATGCCTCACAGCATAGTCCCTCATGGCTTCTCTTGGCTAGGGAAGGGAGTTCCTCAACCCCTTGCACTTCTCAGGTGAGGTGATGTCCCACCTTGCTTTGGCTTGTCCCCATGGGGTGCACCCACTGTCTAACCAGTCCCAATAAGATGAGTTGAGTACCTCAGCTGGAAAAGTAGAAATCACCTATCTTCTGTGTTGATCTTGCTGGGAGCAGCAGACCAGAGCTCTATTTGGCCATCTTCAAAGATATGTTAACTAGAACTCAAAACAAATTTGTACAAACATTATATCTGATTACTGAAAATATCTATCCTAGAACATGAATTGTATCACTTTTGTATAGTTTTTTTGTTCCACCACTCATGGCATACATTCTCAATTACTATAGAATTTCAACTTAAGCACAATTATAATTATTAATTTTTACCACTACATGAGGTGTTCTTTAAAAATATTTTATGTATTGCCATTTCTTTATGATTTTAGCTATTATTCTCTAAATTCTTTCACAAATACTCACATGTTTGTGCACTACAGTCATAGGTATTTAGACGATTTATCATTTAATTATGTCACATCCAGCATCATTGTTTTCTGAAGCAGAGCAGTTTCAGAAAAAGTCTGCAAACTTTTCAAAATAAATAAATAAAAATCTCAATATATATTAGCTTCAGGTACTCACAACACAAGTTGAGCTCAATGATTGTAACCCCAAAAAGTACAATTAATACATTCTTTCTTAAGATTCTATTATTTTCCACTGAAATTATTTTTTTTAATTGTGGTAAGATTACTGGACATGAGATATACTGTCTTAACAAATGTTTAAGCATACAGCACAGCATTGTTAACTATAAGAAGAATAATGTACAGCAAAGATTGAACTACAACTCCTTATTTCTCTATCCCCTTAGCTCCTGATGACCAATTGTTTCTATGCATTGGACTATTTTAGATACATTATATGGGTGGAATAATGCCTATTTTTCTTGCTGTGATTGGCTTATTTCACTTAGGATAACGAACTCAAAGTTCATCCCTGTAGTAGGATTTTCTTCTTTTTTAGTTCTGAATATTATATATGTATATATATATATGGAATATTGTGTGTGTGTATATATATATATAATTTTCTTTTATCCATTTATCTGTCAATGGACACTTAGGTGTTTTTCCATATCTTGGCTAGTGTGAATAGTGCTGCATGATCATGGAAGTACAGATATTAATATGATATTCTGATTTCAATTTATTTGGATAAAAACTTATAATTGAGATTGCTTTATCGTATGATAGTCCTATTTTAATCTTTTTAGAAACTCTTTCTCATAGCAGTCACACCACTTTACATTCTCATCAACAATGTAAAATGCTTCCAATTTCTGCAAGTCCTTGCCAAAACTTGATTACTTTCATGTTTTTTTGTCATAGCCATCTTAACGAGTGTGAGGTAATATTTCATTGTGATTTTGATTGTATTTCCCTGATTATCAGTGATGTTGAGCATTATTTTACATACCTGTTGGCTATTTGTATGTCTTCTTTGGAGAAATGTCTACTCGAGTCCTTTGCCTATTTTTATTTTTTTCTGCTTTTGAATCATAGGTGTTCCTTATATATTTTGGCTATTAATCTCTTATCAGGTATATGGTATGTAAATATATTTTTCTAGTTCAGTAGCTTGCCTTTTTACTCTGATTTTCTTCTTTGCTGTGTAGAAGCTTTTTAGTTTGATGTAGTCTTTCTTGCCTATTTCTGCTTATGCAGCCGGTGCTGTTGATTGCCAAGAAAAATGTCATGAAGTTTTTCCCTCTAAGTATTCTTCTAGGAGTTTTACTGTTTCAAAAATCTTTCATTTAAGTCTTTGATAAATTGAGTTGATTTCTGTAAATGGTGTGAGATAAGGTCCAATTTTATTCTTTTGCAGGTGGTAGCCAGTTTTCCCAACTGGGCTTGTTTAAGAGATTATTCTTTCCCCACGGTGTGTTATTGGCACCCTTGTCAAAAATTAATTTACCGTATATAAGTAGGTTTATTTGTGGGCTGTCTATTCTTTCTTATTAGTCTTATCTTTATGCCAGTACCATATTGTTTTATGTACTATAGCTTTGTATTCTATTTTGAAATCAGAAAACGTGAACCTCCAGCTTTGTTTTTATTTCTTAATATTGCTTGGGCTATTTTGGAGTTTTGCTTTTGTTTCCATTTGAAATTTAGAATTATGTATATATATATATATATATATATATATATATATACACACACACATATTATATATATATAATATAATTGTATTTTGATAGAGATAGCACTAACATTGTAGACAACGTTTTAACTTTTTAACAATATTAAGTAATACAGTTCATAATGCCAGGATGTCTTTTATTCATTTGTGTTTTTTTTTTTTATTCAACAGTGTTTTGTAGCTTTCAGAGTACAAGTCTTTCACTGTCTTTCTCGAGTTTATTTCTAAGTATTTTATTCTTTTCCATGCTATTATAAATGCGATTTTTTTTCTTAATTCTGTTTTTGGATAGTTCAGTGTTAGTGTATTAAAATGAAACTGATTTCTGTATTTGATTTTGTATAGTACAACTTTATTTTATTTGTTTATTAGTTCCAACAGTTTATTGGCAGTGTCTTTAGGGTTTCTTACATACAAATCTATGTTATCTGCAAACAAAGGAGATAATTTTTTCCTTTTTGATTTAGATGTATTTTTTTTTCCCGTATTTAATTTCTCTGGCTAGGACTTCAAGTACTATGTTGAATAGAGTGGTGAGAGTGGGCATCCTAGTTTTCTTCTTGATCTTAGGGAAAAACTTTGTTTTTTAATATTCCAAGTAATATTATTTGTGGGTTTGTCATATATGACTTTTATTATGTTGAAATATATTCCTTATATTTCTACTTTGCCTCATATTTCTGTTATGAAAGAGTGTTAACATTTTGTTAAATATATTTTCTGCATCTATTGAGAGGATCATGTGATTTTTATCCTTCACTCTGTTAATGTGGTCTAACATATTGATTGATTTCTGTATGTTGAACAATCCTTGCATCCTAGGGATAAATCCTGCTTGGTCATGGTGCATGTTCCTTTTCATCTCTATTGAATTTGGTTGGCTAGTATTTTGATCAGGATTTTTGCATTTGTGTTTATCTGAAATGTTGGCCTACAGTTTTCATTCTTGTAGTGTCACTGGCTTTACTACCAGTGTTATATGAACATTATAAAATAAGTTTGGAAGTGTGTCCTCCTCTTTGATATTGGAAAAATTTGAGAATGATTACTTTTGATTCTTCTTAAAATGTGGTAGCATTCAGCTATGAGGACATCTGGTCCTGGGTCCTTTGTTGGGAAGTTTGGCTTACTGATTCAATCTACTTAATAGTTATTGGTTTCTTCAGATTTTCTAATTCTTCATGATTCAGTTTTTGTTGATTGTATGTTTCTAGGAACTTATTACTGTCTCCTACGTTGTCCAATTTGTTGGCATATGGTTGCTCTTAGTAGTTGGATCCCTTTTTATTTCTGTTTTCTTTATTTAACTCTCCTCTCATTAACTTAATGTTTGCCATTTTCATTAATTTTTCAAAAAAACATATCTTAGTGTCACCAATTTTTTCTATTGTTTGTCTATTTTAAAAATTTATTTCAACCCTAATTATTATATTTCTATTATTCAACTAAATTTGGGCTTAGTTTGTTCTTTAATATGATTTGGCTGTGTTCCCCCACAACCCCGAATCTCATCTTCAATTGTAGCTCCCATATTCCCCACATGTTGTAGGAGGGACCTGGTGGGAGATAATTGAATCATGGGGGCAGGTTTTCCCCATGCTGTTCTTGTGATAGTGAATAAATCTCAGGAGATACGGTTTTATAAAGGTCAGTTCCCCTGAACACGCACTCTTGCCTGCTGCCGTGTAAGATTTGTCTTTGCTCTTTCACCTTCCACCATGAGTCTGAGGCCTCTCTAGCCATGTGGAACTGTGAGTTCATTAAAGATCTTTTTCTTTATAAATTACCCAGTCAGGTATTTCTTTAAAGCCATATGGAAATGGTCTAACAAAGAAAATTGGTATCAAATAGAGTAGGACACTGCTCTGAAGATACCAGAAAATGTGGAAGTGACTTTGGAACTGGGTAGCAGGCAGAGGTTGGAACAGTTTGGAGGGCTCCAAAGAAGACAGAAGAGTGTGGAAAAGTTTGGAACTTCCTAGATACTTGGAGTGCTCAGAAGACAGGAAGATGTATGAAAGTTTGGAACTTCCTAGAGGCTTGTTGAATGGCTTTGACCAAATTTCTGACGGTGATATGGACAATGATGTCCAGGCTAAGTGGTCTCAGATGGAGATGAGGAACTTACTGGAGGCTGGAATAAAAGTCACTCATACTATATAGAGACTTGTAGCATTTTTCCCCTGTCCTAGAGATTTGTGGGACTTTGAACTTGAGAAAGATGATTCAGGTTATCTGGTGGAAAAAATTTCTAACTGACAAAGTGTTCAAGACCAAGTACAGCATAAAAGTTTGAAAAATTTACAGCCTGATGATGCAGTAGAAAAGAAAAATCTATTTTCTGGGGAGAAATTGAAGCCAGCTGCAGAAATGAATAAGTAACAAAAAGCCAAATGTTAATTGTCGAGACAATGAGGAAAATGTCTTCAGGGTATGTCAGACACCTTAGCAGCAGCCCCTGCAGTCACAGGCCCAATGCCTAGGAGAAATAAGTCTTCATGGATGGGCCCATGGCCTACCTTCTGTGTGCAGCCTAGGGACTTGGTGACCTGCATCCCAGCTGTTACAGATATGGCTAAAAGAGTCCAAAGTATAGCTTGAGCTATGGCTTCAGAGGGTGCAAGCCCCATGCCTTGGCAGCTTCCATGTGGTGTTGAGCCTGTGGGTTCACAGAAGTCAATAATTGAGATTTGGGAACCTCAGCCTAGATTTCAGAGGATGTATGAAAACACCTAGATGTCTATGCAGAAGTTTGCTGCAGGGGTAGGGCCCTCATGGAGAACCTCTGCTAGAGAAGTGTGGAATGGAAATGTGGGGTTTGAGCCTCCACACAGAGTCCTAACTAGGGTGCTGCCTAGTGGAGCTGTGAGACGAGAGCCAGTGTCCTCCAGGCCCCAAAATGGTAGATCCACTGACAGCTTGCACTATGTGCCTGGAAAAGCCACAGACACTTATTGACAGCCCATGAAAGCATTTGGGAGGGGGGCTGTAGCCTGCAATGCCACAGCAGTAGACCTGCCCAAGGCCATGGGAGCCCAACTCTTGCATTGACCTGGCCTAGAAATGAGACATGGAGTCAAAGGAGATCATTTTAGAGCTTTAAGACTTGACTGCCCCATTGAATTTCTGACTCCCATGGGTCCTGTAACCCCTTTGTTTTGGCCAATTTTTCCCATTTGGAATTGGTGTATTTACCTAATGCCTGTACCCCCATTGTATTTAGGAAGTAACTAACTTGCTTTTGATTTTACAGGCTTCTAGGTGGAAGGTACTTGCCTTGTCTCAGATGTGACTTTGGACTGCGGACTTTTGAGTTAATGCTGAAATAAGACTTTAGGGGACTGTTGGGAAGGCATAAATGGTTTCAAAATATAAAGACATGAGATTTTGAGGGGGTCAGGAGTGGAATGATATGGTGTGGTTGTGTGCCAACCCAAATTTCATCTTGAATTGTAGCTCCCATAATCCCCGTGTGTCATGAGAGGGACCCAGTTGGAGGTAATTGAATCATGAGGCTGGGTTTTTCCTGTGCCGTTCTTGTGATTGTGAATTAGTTTCAGGAGATCTGATGGTTTTATAAAGGGACAGTTCCCCTGCACACAGTCTTACCTGCCACCATGTAAGACATGCTCCTCTTTTGCCTTCCACCATGATTGTGAAGACTCCCCAGCCATGTGGAACCGTGAGTCCATTAAACCTCTTTTTCTTTAAAAATTACCCAGTCTTGGGTATTTTTTATAGCTGTATGAAAATGGACTAATTCATTCTTCTTTTTCTATTTCCTATGGTGTAAGTGTAGGTTGTTGACTTGAGATCTTTTTTTTTTTCATGTAGGCATTTATTACTATATACATCCCTTGTAGTATTGTTTATGCTACATCCCACATACTTGGGTTTGCAGTGTTTTGGTTTTCATTTGTCTCAAGATATTTTCTAATTTTTCTTATTATTCTTCTTCAGGTAGTGCTGTTACAAAGAATTTTTTTATAATTTTCTTATGATTCTTTATTATTTTCATTATATTTTAACACTAAATCTGTACTAATTTTATTAACATAATTATAGAGTTCTAATTTGAGTTAATGCACTGGGAATAGTTATGAATGAAATGCATACAGTTCTGCATTCATCTAAGTCAAAATATTGCATTGATTAAGAGTTCAATATGGTCATGTACCTATTTATATTAGTGACTCAAAAATACATATTCAAAAGTGTATGCAAATATGTCAGTGTTAACTTTTACTTAACAGATTGAACTAGAGGAATGTATGCACTGCATTTAACTCAAAATTTACTTTCATTTATAAATCACAATATGCTAAGCCCACAAGATGTAGTAGGATGTCCTCTACCCTTAACAGTCTTTCTTACTCATAACAGTCATTCGATGAAAGTGTTATTAACAAGCAAATACTTGAAAAAATTAGAAAATATAACATTGGAGACAATTAGATATTGCAGTCACTGCTTTGGTCTTTACATGACATTTTACATTTATACATTCTTTGCCATGTTTGTTAACAAATTATTGTGTTTTCAAAATGAGGGAACTGAATGAAGTCCTTTGACAATTTTCTTGGTGAACCATATTTCTGCAGAATATTTTATAGATAACAAAATATTAGCCAGTGAAATTCGTTATTGATTACTTGGTAGAGGGAGAAGTATAACACATGATATAAATATTGCTAAAGATAAAATATATAAAATACATTCAAAATCTAAGTAAATTGGAAAGTAGTCAGACAACCTCATCATATTGTTTATTCTCATGCTTAGTAAATGTCTTGAACTTCTGAGTTTAGTCATTCTGGAAAAATTAGGAATATTATGTAGAATAATTCCCTAAGGAAAGACTATTTCCTACCAATTAAGATGTGTAATTTAACATATGAATATTGTAAATGAACCTATTTTTGTTTATATTTATGTGATCAAGGGATAGGATCTTAACAAACCATTTTGTATTTGAAAATCAATTTTCAAAGCATATATATATATATATATATATATATATATATATATATATTCATTCATACCACTGGAATCGTTAAGAAAAACTAAAACACACATGAAACTTAGACTGCACTTAGTATTTTTTTAATTCTTAAATAATGATAGTGCTTATAATTTGTGTAAGCTATATATATATATTTACTTTTGTAAAATTTCAGTGTTTCTATTATTGTGATTTTAATTGTAAATACATACAGCACATCCATGAGAAAAATGGAATATTTTACTCTTACAGTTGAAGATCATTTATCTCTGTCCAATCCTGAGCAGGGACTATCACTTTGTTGAGTCCTGCTGTAAGCACCATTGTGTTATTCTGCTTTCATGTAATCTAAAACTTCTAAGAAAAACTGTCTATTCATTTTATACAGAAAAATCTTTGTTGAGGCTTTATATCACACTGAGATATGCATGTCAGTGAGCCCAGAGAATATCGTGTTTAATCTTTGCTATATAAACATTTGTGTGAAGATTACTGTTTGCTAGTTGGTAACTCTCAGATGGAATATGGTTGGTATATTCAAAGGAGCAGTTATTATTTATCAATGCTCTTTAATCTCTTTTGAAATGTTAACAGTAGTGTCATTGTAAAACATCCCTTTGACTGTGATGGGGTTGTTGTCCATAGTGGTATGAAAATTGCTCTTTATTATAGTCACATCTCATACATCAAGATAGTAAATTGTTTGGATTATTTTGTGGGAATAGATATCACAAAAAATGTTTTCCTTTTGTTTCATTTCTTTTTAAAAGGAAAAAGTATTTTAACTGATTCTGTGGAACCTGGAAATTCCTTCAGGTGTGTGTTGGAAATTAATTTAAAATTTTTCAAACAAGAAAGCTAAGCTAAACTAAAACAATTAGACATAGAAGGAAAATATTTTAGCCACTTTTCAAGTGCTGTTGGAACTGTTTATACTTATAATGGGTAAGGAGTTAAACCAAATTGTTCTTTATTCCTTGCTTTTCTTAGCATTATTTCTATTTTAGAAGGTAAATTTGAGAGAAATCTACTCTTCATGGATCAAGAGAAAGTATTTATTCCCTAAGTTTCTTATGCTTGAATGCAAAATTCTGAGTTGATTCCTACTACCCACTGACATAGAATTCTAACAAATATAAATAGCTATATGTCTCTTTAAATAAATACTTTTCATTTAAAATACTTCTGAATATATCCTTAATGGAAACTCCTGGGCTTCCATTATTTGGGGTAGCTGTGTCCATTCATTGCATTCAATTTCACCTTACATACATTGATTTCATATATACATAGAACACCATATTATGCTGCCAGATCTTGCACATTTTTGTTTGTTATTTTGTTTCTTAAACTATGCTACATGAATAATTTCTTAATAGTTATTTAAATATGTAATCCATTTCTTCTTAAAAATATTTTAACTCTTAGTCATTTTCATAAACTAGAAAGCTAAATTTTTATCCATACATTCAGTTCAATGTTAACTATTTGACAAAACTTGGCCTCACTATACTGCTGAAAACATGGTCTAATACCTATATTTATATTAAAACATAATTTCAGCTGTTCATTGAAAAGCCTAAAATCAAACAAAAATATTACCATTCTTGATAAGGCACCAACTAAAAAAGAGGTACCACGTTAACTTTCATCAGAAGAAAGATTGTCTCATGGTTCAAGAAATTAGGATTTTTCAAACAAAATTTTAGGATAACACAATTATACATTAGCAAATAATTTTACCACCACTGTGCACATTATACATCCAAGGCTTTCAAAATTAACTTATCTATAGTATTTTGCAAGATGTCCATATTCATACCTCCCCCGCAAAATCATGAGCTAGGGCTGGTACAGTAAATAGCTAAAGGACAAACTGGGAGCAGCCAGGAAGACTGGCATTATCTTATGGCTTGATACTTTTAGTTCCTGAAAACATTACTTCTTACCTTTTCTACAGTTTTATAGTTGTACTTTTCAGGTGGCCCTATTGATATAAGTTATTCTGGTATTCTCTGAACTGTCTGTGATGTAACTATATATTTAAATTTTCTTTTCACTGTTTATTTTCTCTATCATATTCTTTTTATGTGATTTTTCACTTTATTATATCAAATAATGTATCAAGAAAGTAAAAATAAATAATCCACTATAATATCTATGTCATGATTTAACATACAGTTGTATGTGTATATAAATATACATACATGTATATGTGTGTGTGTATACATACATATGTATACAGATGTATAAACCTGTATATATATATATATATATATATATATATATACACACACACACACACACACACACACACACACACACATACAGGTATGTATATATGTGTGTGTGTGTTTGTGGATACATAGATATGCATGTTATATTTATTGTGCAATATATAGTAAAATAATGCCTGGGCTCTATTCTTTCTCTCTTTTATTTCTAGTATTTTAATGGTATTTGTGCTATGCCTTTAGTCTCAAATTTGCTTCTCTGCCTTATGAATTTTTATTTCCTCTTATTAATTTTAAATATGTAATTAATATGCTTCAAGGAATCCCTTAAGGTTTTATTTTTAATTGTTTTGCACTGATAGCTTCATCTTTATATTTTTTTACAAATTTTTCTGTTTTTTATTTGTTAGTTTTGAAGATATTTATCATAATTTTTTCAAAATCTATTATTTTGTGTACTGAAAATATGGATTTATGGGTAGTCAATTGAGTTTCTTTTCACCAAAATATTTTTTCTCATTCTGACATGTTGTCTTATCTTATATGTCTATTTATTTTGTGAGTATGCCGGACTGTATTTAGAAAAAAGTTTGGATAAAAGATTTGAGGCTCTAGTTTACATCTTCCTCTCAATTAGTACATTTTTCTCTCATGGCAGGCAGCTGCTATTCTGGTGACACTAGCAATCTCAGATCACCTTTAGTCAATCTGAGAGCAATGAAATCTGGGCTTTATTCTTGTGAGACTTTTTTCTATTTTCATTTCATTTATACCACTGAGATTTAGATTTTGAGACTCCTTCCCAAAACCTTGGATTTTTGCCAGGTCACCTCCATCTTGTGTTGAACTCAACTCTGATTTTTCTTCTGCCAGACCAGTGACTGTGTTGTAAGTTCTACTTAGTATTTAGAGTAAAATAATGTTCTTAGGAGGTCAAAGAAGCTGCTACCTGATTTCATTTTTCTAGGCTTTTCACCTTTCTCAGATTTTGGCACAGAAATTTCTCAATGCCTTCCTTCCTTCTCACTTTTTTTTTCTTTTCTATTCTTCTTTTTTTTCTTTTTATTTTTTTGAGACAGTGTCTCACTTTGTTGCCCAGACTGCAGTGCAGTGTTGTGATCCAAGCTCATTCCGGCCTTGACTTCTGGGGCTTAGGAAATCCTTGCCCCTCAGCCTCCAGAGTAGCTGGGAAACAGGTGCAAGCCACCATGCCTGTCTATTTTTTTTGTGTTTTTTGTCTCGAGACAGGGTTTCACCATGTTGCCCAGGCTGGTCTCAAACTCCTGAGCTCAAGCGATTAACCTGCCTTGACTTCCAAGTGCTCGGATTACAGGCATGCACTGCTGCACCAAGCCAGTAGTTTTCAACTTATTCTTTTACCATATATTTTGACAATCTAATTTTCTCTTTATCACATTATATTATTTTCATCATGGAGCATACATTGTAGCATAATTTTCTGTTAGGAATAAAGTGTAACACTGAGGTAGGTAAGTTAGAAATGTATTGAGATATTCCTGAAATGGTAGAGACTCATGTTAAACTTTAAATAACGAGGCAAGAATGAAAGTCTCTCTCTCTCTCACACACACACACACACACACACACACACACACACACACACACACACACACACAGAGATAGCAATAGAGAGGTGGGGGAAATTAGAAGCAACTATGCCAGTGTGTTAAAATGGTTGAATGGTTGAATCTGGGTCAATGTGTACATGAATATGTATCACACCATTTTTGTACTTTTCTATATTTGAATTATTTTAACCTTTGTTAAAATAAATAATACAAAATAGTCATAACTACAGAAGACTAGATCATATCTCATTGTTTCTAAGAAAGAGTTTCTAAATTGGAATAAAATTATTTTCATTTACTCAAGTCTTTAAAAATTTATTTATATTCCTCTTGTGGCACTTAATACATTCTACCTTGTACTGTTATTTGTACATATCTGAATTCATTAGAGATTTGGGGGAAAATGTAAGGCAAGTATAATTGCAAAACTATGATTTTATTTCTCTATAAGGCTAAATGTAGTACTTTTAACATATTAAGCACCGAGAGCATATTTATTTACTTGAATATATTTTCATCCACAAAGTGGAGTGTAGTAGACACAGACAAGTGCCACTGAGAACCAAAGTTTTAAAAATTATACACAAATACAAGGAGTGTGTTTAGCAGAGACCCACCAGCTGTTAGCCTTTCTAGAGTCATCCTGGGCTGACTCTAGAACGATGTTCCTCTTCTGAAGTCACACACTTCCCAAGTTGGCACGTAACTGACTTGGCTGAGGCTTTGTTGGACCTACGACAAAGTTCCACTTTTCACTGTGTCCAATACTGCTGCTTCTTTCTTTTCAAAGGTGTTTATTTCTAGTAAATGCCTTGTACTCTATTAGGGGCTTAAGTTTGTTTTCCCATCAAGGTTCATATTTTAAAGTTCAAATCCCCCTTGCCACACCTCAAATGTAACCATTTCTGAGAAAGTCTTTAAAGAGGTAATTAAAGATAAACGAAGTCATTATGATGAGCCCTAATACAATATTCCTGGGGTGTTTTTAAAGAGAGGAGATTAGAACACACATACAAACATAGGGAAGACCACGTGAAGCCAGCCATATTACAAGTCAAATAGAGGGCCTCAGTGAAACCAACCAGGCAGACACCTTGATTTTGGACTTCTAGCTTGCCAAACTGTGAGAAAAGAAATGCCTGCTGTGGTAGCCACCTATGTTGTAGTATTTTGTTGTGGCAACTCTAGCAAATTAATACACACTCCGAACTATTTCAGAATCTCTTTCTTCAGAATCCAACCTGTGACAGTTGGTATCAGAAAGAAACAAATAAATTAATTAGATGGACTTTTGCAATGGGACACTTCTTGCAAAGCCATTGTCAGAACTATACCACAGTCAATGTTCTTTCTCTGTTCAGCCTTGTCCCCCACTCATAAGTGCTGATCACTAATAAAGTCTTACAGCTGAAACTCTGACTTAGCATCCACTTCTAGAGAACATGGGATGCACTTACATAGGAAATGTCACAATAATCAAATACGTGAAACCAAGGAAATAGAGCTTCTACATATATTTTAATTTTTCTTTCAGTCTGTTTTTCTCTTTCTTACTGTGTGTGTGGGGGGGTGTATGTTTTTCTACAATATGCGTATGCAAATTAGTAAGGTATAGTTATAGTGGTTAAGAAAGGGGTCTGTAGATTCACAAGACATTCCAAAAGGGCCTGTCTAGGATTCTGAATATATTTACTTAACTTATTGTAATTTTGCGATTAACTTATTGTAATTCTGTGATTTCAGGTGAGAAAATCTCTGTGCCTTGGTTGCTGCACCTGAACAAGGAAAATTATCTAGTTCATAAGGTTATGATTGAGGATTCAGTAAATAAGTAACACTTAGAATGGTTGTGGGAAAGAGAGTTTCTGGGAAGCCAGATGAGTTGGTCTGTCCTGTGTGAGACAACCATGGGGAGCCATGAGCGGCCTCTGAGGAGAAAAGTCTCTTTATTGCCTTCATGTCTTTATGCCTGGAGAGCATGACAGCTCCGCGGCGTTCCACAGGTTGCTCAGGGAGATAACACACCCTTGAAGCAGTGGAGTATAATCAAACATCTTGGCTTCTCCTGAAACCCACTCCCACCCATTTCAGCCCTGATAAGTTAAAGATTTTAAGTAGTTTAGACACATGCCTTTGCTCAAGGAAATTCACAGAAACTGCCACTGCTATACATCTTATTGAATGACTCACCAGTTCTCCTTCATTGATTAATCCTTTTCCTCCATCCCTTCTTACCTCTCCCATCTGCCCTAAGAACAAAGAGCTTGTAAACCAATAAATTAGGTGAAGTGGAAGAGCTCTGGCCCATGAGCAAGCCTCTGACTCTCCTGTCCCCTGGACCCACCTTTTAAACTCTTATTCTGTCTCTTTCTAACTCCTTTGTCTCTGCTGGACTTGGGATACCCGCTGGTTGGTGTGGGGCTGGTTTCCCCAACAAATGTTGTCTATCCCATAGAAAACACTTAATAAATTATAATACATTTATAATTACACATTCCCTCTTAAATAAGCAGTTCATAGTTTATAAAGCTTGGTCTAAGCTTTAGTAAAATATATGAAAAGGAATTTGGTGTTTCCAAAATATTTTAGCAAAAGGAAGTGAAGGAAAGCAGATTAGAAAAAAAAATATTTGTGATATGACATTGGAAAAAATAGAACAATTCTCCATTTGAGGCTATGTCAAAGCACAAAGCAAAATATTTAATGTGATATTTTAAAGTTTCTTTTAAATGGCAAATTTTAACAACATTGACTGTATCTGTCTAGATAGTGCTTGAAATAAATAGGTTTCAAAAATATTAACCAAGTAGCTGAATTATTAATCAATGCATAAATCAAGCTTATACTCTACATTTCCATGAATATATTGATAGTGAGTTTTCAAACAATTACGTTTTTAAAAAATCAAGGATTAACTTGAATGCAATCATTAGACATAATAAAGACTCTGAGGGAATATATGTACAGAGTTCTAAATGATCAAATTAAAATAAATTTTGGGAATTTATTCAATGTTAAAATGTGAGGTTGCTTTTCTCTAAGACTTCACCAATTCATGTGCCTCCACACACATATGCTCAAACAAATAAAAATATATTCAGTGTTATTTTTAACATACCTGACATACACATATTGGAAATAAGTTTACATGACAAACATTTCTTAATTAAAATATGCCATTTATTTTAGGATATGTTTTAAGTAACGTAGATATTTGCACTGAGAATCTTTGGGATTCTAGATTTCTTGTGAAAGGAATAGATTAAAATTGGCATTTTCATGGAATTTCCATCTCAAGCAGTTTTTTTTTTTTTTTTTTTTTTTTTGGTTGCCCTTTTTAGGCTAGTAGGCTAAGCATGAGGACTCATGCCTGTAATCTGGGCGTTTTAGAGGCCGAGGCAAAAGAATGGCTTAAGACCAAGAATTCAAGGACAGCCTGAGCAATATAGCCAGACCCTGACTCTACAAAAAATACAAAATTAAATTTTGCAATCATGGTAGTGTACATCTGTAACCCTGGTTACTTGGAAAGCTGAGGTTAGAGGATTGCTTGAACCCAGGAGTTTGAGGCTGCAATAAGCTATGATCCTGCCACTGCATTTCAGCCTGGGTGACACAGGAAGACCTTGTCTCTAATAAATAAAATAAAAATGTTACAAATTTTAGATTTATCTTTGCTGATTTTATTTTAGACTTAATGGTCCACTTTTACCACTGTCTAATTTAAATGTTTATCCAAAAGCACTATTGACAATCAGCAAAAATGTATTACTTATCCTCCATCATATGATTATAAGTCATATGATGATGTACATGACTTAATCAGGGAAACAAAGTAAACATGAAACATGCCTTAAATTACCTTGAAATAAAATTTTGTTGGTAGACTATTACTGATTCAATTTTGGAGCTCCTTTTTGGTCTGCTCAGAGAATCATTTTTTTCCTGGCTCGGTCTTGGGAGATTGTTTATGGCCAGGAATTCATCCATTTCTTCTAGGTTTTCTAGTTTGTTGGCATAGAGGCATTCAAAGTAGTTTCTGATGCTTATTTACATTTCTGTCGGGTCAGTGGTAACGATTCCTTTGTCATTTCTCATTGTGCTTATTTGGACCCTCTCTTTTTTCTTCTTTATTAGTCTAAGTAGTGGCCTATCTATCTTACTAAGATTTCAAAAAACCAACTCCTGGATTTGTTAATATTTTGAATGTTTTGTTTGTCTTGATTTTCTTCAGTTAACCTCTGATTTCAATTATTGATCATCTTCTGCTAGCTTTGGGGTTGATTTGCTGTTGCTTCTCTATTTCTCTCACTGTCACGCACTCATGGCTCTGGTAACCACCATTATACTTTCTGCTTCCATGAGTTTGATTTATTTAGATTCCACATATATGTTAGGTTATGCACTACTTGTCTTTCTATGCCTGGCTTATTTTACTTAGCACCATGCCCTCCAGATTCAGCCTCAATTTGGTCTTCTAACGGTTCACTTGTAGTTAGAAAAGGGAGATGGCAATGCCAATCTAAATCAAAATGTTTTCATGAATATCATAGCCATAAATACACTGTGTAATTGAAAATAAATGTGGAATGACTTCTTTCTCCACTCCTGGAGGCAAAACAGGTATTTCTTTCTTCTTCCATAGCTAATATGAATGAGTCTTAATTCGCTTTATTAGAAATTGATTTTTGGAAGATAGCTTATAGACATAATCAAAGTCATAGGCAGCTGGGATCAGTAATATCAACACATAAAGTGATTACTGAAAACTGAAGCTACCATTTATATTTTGAGATTTTAGTTAGTGTACAGGCAGTGGTTTCCTCTTGCATTAATCCATTTTATATCCTGTGAAGTCAGCTTAATAAATTGTTTTATTTTCAAAGATCAATGCATATCAAAACTAGTATGTAAAATAGCAGATATTACAGCAAAACCAACCTAACATCTTAAAGTGACAGTTGAGAATATGTACATTTTGTGGCATAAACTAAAAAATGGAAGTGGTATGTGTGTGTATAAATATATAATATATATACACAAATGTATACCTATAAAATAGTGAATAATAATACATATTTACCTATGTATATATAAATATAAATAGTACTGTATATATCAAATGGTAAAGAGTAATTTTATGTGTTATATTTATATTATTTTACTGTTTATACTATTTAAATATACAGATATCATGTTACTTCTTTTTCTTTCTACTGTTTTTCTATACCCCAACCCCTTTCTGCATGGTTCAATAAATCAAGGAGTAGCATAGTAAAAAGAGAAAATAAGGCTTTGTTTTATTGTGCATATGTAATATACCAAGTGGATTCACCCTTGTTATATAATTAATTAGACTTTTTTTTGCTTCTTTGGAGCAGTTTTTTTAATATCTATATTTCATAACTTTCATTCTTTCTTAGAGTTCTTACAAGCAACAAAAAATTAAATTTTGTTGATTTTAATAGATTATAATTTATTCTATTTTACAATTACCATTTGGATCCATTGAATTGTTATAAATCCAAAATGAATTATGAGATCAGGATCTTATTTTTATCTATATTTTGAAAACATTTTCTATTTTATCATCCTAAGAATTATCTTATCATGACTCATGATGGTTCATTGATTATTCTCAATTATGCTAAAAAAGACTGTAATAAGAAAAAAAGGAATGATGGAATCACTAAGGAGCAAGATGCAATCATGGAATAAATTGTTGTTCTTTCTTTTGTTATTGTGTTATCCAAAATATGGCATCATCTTTCAGTAAGATATTCAAAATACTCGAGACACCATCTTTGTGGTCTGCTTTTAAGTTAACACAGTTGAAAATTAGAGGTTTTTGTTTTTCATGATGGCAAAGAAAGTTATAAGATTAACTTAATTAGAAGATAAATGCAAAGAACAAGATAGCAGCATTCTAGACTTTAAAGATATAATAAAATTTATCATATTAATTAAATTGACTATATGTCTTCAGATTATGATGACTGAAATGAACATTCTCAAATTTAAGAACCAATGACAAGTTATTTCCAAAGACAAAGTGTAAATACAGTATTCTCACCCAGTTAGTCAAAGGACTTCACACAATAGTTTGGAATAAGAACCTGGATAATCCCATTTTGTTAAAAGAGTGTGTGACAATACTATTTTATCATCCATGGTGTTTGTGCACAAAAATTTACTGCATGAAAGACTTTTACTATGTTTAAAATTTATTAATATTTACTAGTTTATTTTACTGTCTTTTCCTTGTATTTGTAAATTACTTATAAATGACTTAAAATGAGAGCATTACATTAAACAAAAATGTTCTATGGGACCTAGATGGTAAACAATGATAATTATTTTTCTCAGAAATTTGATGATTAAATATTATACCTCATTATTTTTTAACAAAACTCCGGTGAGGACTCATTGTCTTTGCACTTCTATTTGGAAACTGAGATAACTTGTCTAAGAGTGTACAGTAAAAGAATATTATAGCCAAAATGATTCCCAAGATCTCTTACTGAAGGAATGAAACAAAAAAGATTCTTTAATGTCTAATGGAATACAAATATTAAATCTATATTTCGTTATTACTTTTATATTTTAGATAATTATTTACTGAAAACTTTAAATGCACCTGTGGTCATGAGTAATGTTCAGATAAACAGAAAGGGCTGCTTGTGTTATGCTTGTTCTCAAATTTTTTTCTTTGTTAGGAAACTATGGTTTAATTTCTTGAAAAATTGTAAGAGTTTATAAGGAAGTTCTTGAGAATGGTACAAAGAAAATTATGTAGAAAGTTAGAAAGCAGGTAGATTAAAGAGGCTTAAATATCATGAAACAAAACACCTAAATATGAGCTTCCCCTTACATAGGGCAAACATTGCATGGAAATATTAGACTTGAATAGAAGATATTAAGTTAACTCGTTGGCTAAACTTTGTTGTAAATGTAGAATTTAAGCAAATAAATTATTTTTTATTTGGAATATAAATGCCTATTACTTTGTTTTGATATTACAGGTTTTGTGCAAATATCTGCTGAGTGAACTACTTATTTGAAAATACATCATTGGTTAATATTCCCTTTTGCTCATTGAAATCTCAAAGACTACAGGTTTGTCATTTCATACTAATACATACTGCATACATTAAATATACAATCAATTTTGTAAATATCTATTTTAAAATCAATTTCATTTGTTATTTTAAAAAGAAAAGACTTTTTAAAATACTTATTCTAAGTTTTAGCATATTTCCCTAGAGAAAAATCCTGAATTTGTTAACATATTCACTTATATGTTATTATTTTTATGAACTTGAATTAATTTTAAATTATAAATAATGAGGATGTCTTTTATGTGGTAGGTATTATTTGGCAAATTGAATGCATATATTTGGATTGGTTTCAAAAATACAGATTGATAAAATTCAGTCAGTTTTATGACATGAAAATGCAATGTACATTTTAAAAGAATATAGTACAAAAATATGGTTGCTTGAGAAAATATTTTTAAACCTCTTAGTTTACTTTTAAAAGAATATATGTTTTACAAATCATGTATCTAGATATATGTCAGAGTTAGGATTGTCATCATTCTAACATTTAAGGCACTTTTATCTATTACTGTTCATATTGTAGAAATGACTTATACCCCTAAATCCAAGGGGTTAGAAAATGTATCTAAATTCATCTCTTGGAATGTTGAGCATTAATAGCCTGATAATAATTTGGTAAATATATAGTAGTTAATCTTGAAATATATCTATCATACTTTAATTATTTTCAAAATACATTTATTTGGTAAGTGAATATCCAGTTATAATATTGCTGCTTGTGGTGGTAGCTAGTGTTTGTTTATTATATACTGGGTATTTTGTTAGGTTTATAATTGATCCCGTTTAAATTTCCCAGCCATATAGTAATGTTGAGGGATAGATTTCAGTATGAAATGAGATATTCAGGGTAGGAATCATAGGAGAGCCCAGGTCTAGGCAAAGACTTTAAGGACGTGAGGTAGTAATCCTTGTGAATTCCTGGGATGAGAAGATTCTAAGTATAAAGAAAACAGTGGTTGTGCAGGCTCTGCGGTGTAGGTGTGTGCCTGGCTGCATGGTGGGTTTGAGGAAGAACAAGTAAGCCATTTTAATGAGAACAGATTCAGTACAGGAGAGGATAATGATGGCAACAGTGGTCAGAAAGGTAACGGGGGAAAATAATAAGGCACCTTGACAGTAGGGTGATGAAATATCCTACTTGTTCATGCCAATTTATTTTTAGGTATATTGTTCTGTCATTAGTACTATAAACAATTTCACTCACTAATCTGGATTGAATCATAACTTATATGGTCACCCTACTTATCAGCATTATGGGTATCTTGGCTTTTATACTGAATGTAAAGAGTAGCCATGCAGAGTTCTTAGAAGAGAGATAGCTCTGACTTATCTTCTAAAAGGCTTACTTTGGCAGCTTGTTTTGAGAGGTCTAAGTCCTTGGATATTAGCAGAGAAAACTCTTATGTGACTATCATGGAAATCCAAGTGAGAGATGATGGCTCAGACCAGTGGTTTCAGGAGACGGAGAGAAGTGCTTGAAATTTGATATATTTTAATGTAGAGCTAGCATGATTTTATGATGGTTTGGTTAGCAATTTTACTCATTTCGCTGACTGTTTGGTGTTTTGTTTGTTTGTTTTAAAACATTCTAGGATGAAATAAAGATTTTTCTTGTACTAAAAAACTAAAAAAAGAAAAAAAATCTGCCATCAGCTGAGACAGTGAAGGCTGCAGGTAGATGAGATTTAATAATCCTGAGTTCGTATTTGAACATGTTAAATTGCATGTATCTAAGAGAAAACCAAATGGCGATGGATATAGGTTTTGTGTGTAAGGGTCAGGAATTCATTTAAGAAGGCTTTGTTGGCGATATTAATTTGAGAGTTGTAAATTTATGGGTGGTATTTAAGCCATGAGGATGGATAAGATCCTCAAGAACTTGACATTGGGCCCCTTCAATTTTAAAAGTAAGAGAGAAGGGAAACATGTAACATCAAAGATGAGAAGAAACTCCCATGATATGAGAGAAAATTCAAAAGTGTTCTCAGTGCTGTAAGTCAGTTGAAGTAAGTGTATCAAGGAGAAGAGATCTGTATTAAATGCTTCTGATAAATCAATTAAAACCAGCATGCAAATAGACCATCACATTTAGGACGATGTATATAATTGGTAACATTTGATGGAATCAGATTCAGTGAAGTGATGAGAATGAATGTGAATAAAATTAAGAGAGAACAAAAGGAGATAAATTACAAACCTCAAGTTTCATTTCCAGAAAAAGAAAACTGACCAATAAAACAAAGCACAATCTTATTTTTACCCATGAAGAACCAAGTTGCAGCGAGGATGGTTCAGAGTATTTATTTTCTTCCTTGGTCCTTTTCCTATTTCCACCATGTGTTAAGTATGGAACATTAAAAGAAGATAGTAACTTCTCTAAATCTAAATTTATTACAAAGTGCATATACTATTATTATCTACTATAGAGTGTTGAAGAGTTGTTTATGCTTTATAGAGTGAGGTCATCTACTGAAAACATCTAATACGTAAGTTCCCAAATGCAGACACTATTAGAGTTGTTTTTCTTATTTTTACTATTATTACTATTTCCTTCAATTATTATTCAGTTTTTACTTAACAACATAGGAGTTGGTAGGTAGTGTCCTGACCCTTCTTTCTCTTCACATTTGTATTCTCTCCTTCTTCCTCCTGTCCCCATTCTGCCAACATCTCTTTCTCTGAGATCAAAAACAAACACACAAAGTAAAGATACAAACTTTTTGCTTATCTATGGAAGGAGACTTCCATAGATATTCTTACATTATTCTGCATAGTACATTCATGAAATAAAGAATTACCTTTATTGAAATTTTGTATATCTTATATCACAACTTTCTGCTAGGGTAAGGCTGAAGCAGAAACATAAATATGATAAGGAGGCAGATTTGTTAGCTGTATCTCTAATGTTCAACACTTTTCTGGTTCTATGTATTTTTATCTGCTGCACACCTGCTTAACATACCTACCTCCCTCTTTTTTTCACGAATTCTTATTTTACTCCAGGTTGCACACTTTAATATCTTTCAAACTAGAATGCAAATTGCACCTAGCCAACATAAACAATGTATGAGTACTGAACATTTATATAACCTCATTTTTTAGGAAATGGTAGTGTTAAATGTGGAGAAGACAAACAATAATATATTTTGGACAAAGTGCCCATCCTCTCCTTTTTTCCTTGTTCCTAGACCCCGCACAAGACATTCTGACATTCCCGTCTTTGAAATGAATGACAGCAATGATAAATATGGCTCACCTCCAGAGATACAGATCTCACAACTTCATATTTTTAATATAAATTATTAATCTGAGGTATGATTAGTATTAGCATCTTTGGTCCTTTCACTAGATGGAATTCATAGATTGTAAGATATATTGTGTTTATCTTGTTATACTAATAACATACTGTTTGGCATATATTTAGCATTTTTGGTTTTAAACTAAGTTTAATTAAATTATATTTCATTAAATCTCTGAAATAGAAACAGGCATGGTAGCTCATGCCTGTCCCAGTACTTTGGGAGGCAGAGAGGTAGGAGGTTTGCTTGAACCCAGGAGTTTGAGGCTGCAGTGAGCCAGAATCATGCCACTATACTCCAGCCTGGGAAATGAAGTAAGACCCCATCTGTAAAAAAAAAATAGTAAAAACTAAAAACTGAAAAAAATTTTAAAAATACTCAAGACTTTCATATAAATCTTTCCTATATTTAAATATAATGATATATAATTCACATATATACTATTTTATATTACTGTGACTTCACTTCTTATTTTATAAAGTAGTAGCATAAAACATTTTTCATCATTATTTTTGTATTCATGTCAGGCGATAAATTTTTCTTTGAGTTGCAGTCTTAAAAGAAGTCTCAAATTTTCTATGATGACATTTACTGAAGAAAAAATCATACTGTTGCTCAGTGTTTACTCTATTGACTTATTTGGTCACAAGTTCAGATATTTTTATTGATTGTTACATATTGTTATGAAGGCACATGTTGATTTGTGTAAGATAATAGTTTATGTAATAACATGATGTTATGATGTTAAGTTCCAACATAGGAAATACATGATGTTCAAAGATCTTAACATGTTAAATAGAGCTACCACAATATCTCTATGACATTTAAATAATCCCTAGTCATCAACCCTTTACTTCTAATTCAATCCTTAAAAAGTAGAGGAGGGTAATGGTGCTATGAACTGTCCAAATATTATTTTTCTTCTCCCCATGAAGAAGACAGAAGGAATACCTAACTCAGTATCAAAAGAATTGCCCTGTGTCAAATCTAGCTTGTGGCTTTATGAGATGCTACGTATGAAGACCCACTCTAGAACTTCTAAGAAAAAGGAATTTGGTAGGATTATTCTCAGAGATCTACAGGGAGTTTCTCTTAATGTTTGGGAATATACATGAACATAGAGACTGAGGGCCGATTCTGATGTAAAAATTACTGAAGATGAGAGACATACCTACAATCATATAAACAATAAGAAGACCATAGAACTCTCTCCATTTTAGTTTAGTTGGAGACTGCAAAAGAATTTTCTAGTGTTTATGGCTCCTGTGAAGTGAACATATTTTCCAGATCAGTATAGAGTACCAGCAGCAGATGGCATCAGATGGACATCTGAGCTGAGCTGGAACTGAGATACCTTGTTTCCATGATTAGTGACGCTTTCTATTAACTATGTATGTTGCCTTCCACTCCTTACCTTCAATATCAAAATAGATTGGTATTCAAAAGGGAAGGGTTTGAGTGTCCTAAAGTCTTACCCTTTTATCTCCCCAACCACTATTACTATTAAACTAAGGGCATGGGTTCAAGCCTGCCTTTGAGGGAGTGAGACTATATGAAATCTAAATTGAGTTTGAGACAAAGTTGTGTATTAGACTTTAGTTTTCATAAGCAAAAGTGACCCAAAAGTTATGGAATTTGTCCAGATAATAATTTAAGGAATGAGAATATGATATAGAACAACTAGATTGGAAATACAAATAACATTTTAAATATATGCTATCTTTGAGATTTCTCTATAAACTAGATTATACCTAATTCAAGAGTACATTATATGGCTTACAAAAGGAATGAGGGAGAGAAGGTGAGAAAGAGAGGGTTAATGTTTAAACAAACATGTTTTATTAAAACATCTGGGTACTAAATAAATCATAACTCTTTCCTACATGTGATTTGTAAGATCCACTGGGAATATATATTTTAAACCTACAAGTTAAAACATTTTGTTAGTAATCTGACCTCAAGGATACCCTGTTTTATTCTTAAAAAAAAATCCTTTGTAGGTTTGATAAAACAAATTTAATATTTATATTAATTTTGTGAGAATATTAAGTGAGATCATGACATGTTTTCCGAGAGTTAATTCTCCAAGTTTTAGAATCTACACTGGGAAACACAATGATTATTTAGCAACTGAATGGACTACACAAATTTCCTTCTTCCTCCTATTTCTCTTCAAGTCAGACCTCATTCAAAAAAACTATATATCACTTCAGCAAATGAAAGTTCATAATTTTAAGATGAATAATTATTTTTAAAACTTTACTTCTTGAAATAAAAATTCTTTCCTTTCATGATCAATTTGTACTCTTCCTTTATATTTTCCCTTAAATGAATTGTTTGGACATCAGCTACCAAGTCAACAATTATTTTATCTCTAACATTACATTTTTGGAAGTTTTTAATATCAGTTGTCATTCAGTGTTCAAAACTTATTATGCTGTGCTTGTACACTAAAATATGAAAAGATGACTGCTTCTGGTTCAGCTTCAGGAACCTCAGCTAATTGTTTTTGGAGTTTATCAAAATAAATGGTATTTAAAAATCATGTACTAGGAAGTAATAGATAAAATATTCTCTTGTCATGTTATCATTTTGAAATGTTATACCACAATACATTCAAGCTCTAAATTTTAATTTCACATAAACTAAAGATTTTATTTTAAAAAAGGAAATATTGTAGCTGTTATATATTACATATTAAATATTTGTTGGGATTCACCCTTTTGTTATGTAATTAATCTAAAATTATTAAAAACTTCAAAGATTAATGGGACAATAAATAACCAATTTTGTTAAAATAATGTAGGTATACTTTTATTGAGTATACCTGAATCTGGAATTTGGAAAAAAAAACTTTAAAAACAGTGAAAAGATTATAAATTAAGTGAAAGTTGCAAAATTAACCATAAAATACTAAATGTAGAAACTTGATTTCACAGTCATGACAGTCATGTAGCAAAACTAAGGAGGTAAATAAGTGAGCCAAATTGACTGTAAATATTGTTTTATTTACATGTGGGACAAAAGGAAAAGTGGCTGAGTTTCCAAATTTGTGAATGTATCATTATTTGAATACACAAAGAACAAAATGATTTCTAAAATCATCAGAGCCAACTAACATTAACTAACATTTAATGTAAATCTACATTTTTAAACCAGTGTTTAAATAAATTTTTAAATAATATTTAGCAAAGTGGAAGCCAAAAAAGCCAACAGGTTTACTTGAAATAAATCTAAGAAGAGCACATTTAAACAATTCAATGCATCTTGCTTTTTCTTTTTTTCTCTCCTATTTGGCTTCTGTAACAAATACTTGATGTAAATATATGTGGATTTCTCACTAAAATGGTGATAGTACATACTGTCATCCCTAAAATAAAGCTGCAACATCATTAGAATGAAGTGATAAGTATTGCTTGAAGTGATAAGTATTGCTTTAAGTGAAAGTAATTACTAAGTACTTACTAATTTATTACAGAAAATATTAAGCTTTATCCTCAGAGAGAAAGATATTCATAGTCCTCTACCCTTTTTTCCCCAAAAGTTAATGTCAATTGTTTCAATACAAGCTTTGAAATTATTCCTTTTATTAAAAATTTAAAAATCTATTCTAAGACATAGTGTATTCATAATTAATTTCCATACATTCTATGCAAGTAGAAAATCTGTAAAATGAATTTTCGTAGAAACCGAGTAAAAATAATTCAAATATAAAGGAACACATGAATAAAATAGACGTTTCCTATAGGATCTTTTTCAGTATCAGACTTAATTTACACGTAATGCTTGTGAGAAAAACCATCCACATCTAAGAGATATGTGGTATTGTGGCATTTAAAAAATGACCTTTATAAGACTTCTCAGAAACATTTCTCCATCATGCAATTCAGGAGAAGCATTTTTATGTTGAATGTAGTCCCAGTCTCAGTCAGAATGTTTTCAGTTATTTGTTATATTGAACATCCTAGACAATTTATAGGTATATTTGATAGATCTTGCTATCATCTATTGGTTGCTAGGGGATAGGAAGATAAGCCCAAAGCAAGGACAACTCTGGGAAATTCCAGAAGTAAAACTGAGAGTACCAGACTTAGGTTTTATAACCATTTCTAAATTATTTTATAGATACCAAAACAGAATGAGGGTTTTGAAAGCATATTTCAGAAATCATCTGCATGAAAATGAGAACTTGATTGAAATGTCCTGGGATGCACCTCACAGCCTCAAATCAGAATCTTTAGAGATTCTTTGGGTTTCTAATATACACTCACAGTTGGAAAGTATTTACATAGGAGTTCAATTCCAAGAAATGAATTATTTCTAGCATGTATAACTTAAAACAGACAAACAAAAAACCTGTTCTTCCCAACTCTAGATTTTACTGTAACACTAGCCCATCTGCAGGATGGGGAGCTTGAGGATAACAGCGTATCATGCAGTGCAAGACCTTTGCTTCTAATAAGGTTTTACTTGGGGAATGACAGTCATACAAAAGCTAACACTGGTATTTTTTTATTTTGAGTATTTGTTGTTTGTATGTCTATTTAATGATTCTGTGCTCTCTTATGGTTAAGGCCAGAGCTGTAAGATAAATAATGAATTTTAAGGGGCATCATATTTTCATAAATGTGCAATTTCCACTGCATTGCTTCAGTGTGTGGGGGTACAGAGAGCTTAGGGAGAACATAGAGCTACACATAACTCGCTAAATCCATTCATTGGTTTAAAAAGTTTAAATGCTTCGTAGTTTGTACCAGTAATTTAGTCACTTTTCTAGAAAATTTGGTCAGGTTTACAGATAAATTAGACATAGACATCATTACCATGAGCCTAAAATTCTGTTGTGAGGAGAGAAGAAATAACCATAAAAATAAAAATAATGAATGTATCTTATTTTTCAAAGATCATATTTAACTAATTCAATGATTTGCTTTACTCTTTTTCCCTGTTTTGTAGATATAAAACTGTGCTTCTCTGTATGTGTTACAAATTACTATGCTGTGGTTGCCTGTTCCTTTTCTTCATAGTACCTTTATCAAATTTTTAAAATTTACATAGAATAATATAGACATACTTTTGGTGCACAGTTTATGAACTTTAACAAATGTTTATATCTGTGTAATAGTAATAGCCTGCACAACCAACATACAGAAAAGTTTCATCACCCCAAACAACTCCTTTTTCTTTTTTACTTTTTTTTTTTTTTTTTTTTTTTTGAGACGGAGTTTCCTTCTCCTTGCCAGGCTGGAGGGCAATGGCGCGATCTCGGCTCACCGCAACCTCCACCTCCCAGGTTCAAGAGATTCTCCTGCCTCAGCCTTCTGAGTAGCTGGGATTACAGCCCACCACACCTGGCTAATTTTTTGTATTTTTTGTAGAGACGGGGTTTCTCCATGTTGGTCAGGCTGATCTCAAAATCCCGACCTCAGGTGATCTGCCGGCCTCAGGCTGCCAAAGCGCTGGGATTACAGGCGTGAGCTACCGTGCTGGCCTTGCTTTTTTTCTAGTCACAATTTTTCCTGTAGTTAACCTGTTAAAAACATCGACTGTTTCTGCATCACTACAATTTTCCTCTTTCAGAAAATCTTGTGAACAGAACAGTACAGTATGTAACCTTTTGACATTGGCTTCCTTCACTAAACATAATTTGAGATTTGAGATTCATTCACATTGTTGAATCAGTAGTTTATTTCTTTTTATTGCTGAGTAGTGTCACATTTTGTTGATGCATTGTCCTATTGAAAAACATTTGGATTGTTTCTAAGTTTGTGTGATTATGAATATAATCTGCTATAAACATTCTTTAACAGATTGTTATGTGAACCAAATTTTCATTACTCGGGTAAATACCTAGATCATTAGGTCAAATCACTAGATTATATGATGCATTTATTGAACTTTATTAGAAACTGCCAAATACTTTTCTAAAGTGGCATCACCACTATACAGGAGAATTCCAGTTGCCCTTTACTCTCACTAGCACTTTGAATTACCAGCAATTTTTTTTTCGCCACTTCAATAGGTATGTTTGGTATATCTCAGTAATTTGTCTCTTCTTTATATTTTGTCGGTATAGCTAGAGATTTAACAATTTTATTCATCTTTTTATAAAGCCAGCGTTTGGCTTAATTTTCTACTTCTTATTTAATTTTTTCTGATCTTTAATATATCCCTTTGCTTCATCTGGGTTTATTTTATTCTTTCCTTTATAATTTCTTGAGATGGGAGCTCAGATTAGTTCTCTAATATATATATTTTTCTAATCTAAGCATTTAATGCAATAAATTTCCTTCTAAGGCTGCTTTAGCTGTATCCCACAGATGTAGATATGCAATATTTTCATTTTTATTTAGTTCAAATGCCTTCTAATTTGTCTCAAGACTTATTTATATATCTGTGGGTTATTTAGAAGGTTGTTGCTTTGTTGTTATTGTTTTCCTTGTTTTTAGGATTTCTCTGTTATCTTTATGTTATTGATTTTTAGTTTAATTCCATTATGGTCAAATGACCTGTCTTTATGATTTCAAATGTTTTAAAATTTTTAAAAGTGTATTTTATGACCCTAGGTACGGTCTGCTTTGATGAGTGATCTCTGGGTGCTTGTAAAGTTTTCTGCTGTTTTTGCATAGTGCTCTATGAAAATTTATTAGATCCTGTTTGGTGGTGGTATTTAGTTCTATATCCTTTCAGATTTTCTAGTTATTAATCCGACTGAATTTAGAGCAGAATGTTGAAACGTGCATCTCAACTTGTAGATTATTCTACTTCTCCAGTCAATTCTATTTTTACTTTATTAATTTTGACCTCTGCCATTAGGTGAATACACATTTTAAATTGCTAGGTAAATTTTGTATCTGCTAGGTAAATAGATACATTTATCATTATGTAATGTTACTCTATAATGTTGGTAATTTTCCTTATTCTTAAGTCTACTCTATGTTAATATAGCCACTACACCTTCCCTTGATTAGTCTTTATATGGTGCATCCTTTTTTCTATCATGTTAATTTTAACTTACATATGTCATCATAATTGATGGGAATTTATTGTATGCTGATTAACTTAGGTCATGAGTAAACTATCCATAGTTCAGTTCTCACAATCTATGATACGTTGTTAGGGTCATGTCTAAACATATGCTCCTTCATCATAAGCTCAGGAGTTTAGTATTAAGTTTATGCAGCCACTTCCTTGAGCTCCTCCCTTTCAATGATCTCCCTAGTACATTAAATTTACTTAGTTTTCTCTCCTTCCTGCCTTCCCACCACAGAGCTTCAGCTTTACTTATACTACACTGTGGGGGCATTTCCCTTAGCATATACAGGACCAAGTAGTGGGAGGACATACCAAGATAAAAGGCACAAGAAATTTGTCCCACTCTCTTTGTACTATAGTTTGTCTGATCAAAGAGGACAATTTCACTTGTGCAGTTTTATAATAGATGCCTATGGCCTACTTGGACTGAGGCATTAAAGAATATAGAACATGCAAGAAGACAGAAGAGACAGAGAGAAGAGAGAAGAAAAAAGAGAGAAAAGGAGAGAGAGAAGAGAGTGAAAATTAGAAATAGAGAATTTTCCTCAAGAAATGGGTCTTCCAATTTATCTGAGTATTTGGAGACTCCTTTATTGATTCTTGTATCAGAGCAGAGAACTTCTCCTGGAGCATTTTCTGTCTACACTGACATCCTTCTTCAGGTTTTAGGCTGTGATGAGTCTGTTACTGGTGATTACAGAGGGGAAAAAAGAAATAAACTCAATGCTGGCTCACAGATACTTTGAATTCAAGTCTTTTGTCTAAATTCACCTACTGGCAATTTACTTTTCAAGAGATATCAAATAGCCCATTCATTGTGTCCGAGTTTTAAAGCTGCACTGAGCCGGAGAGACAGGGTGGAATAAGATTACTGTATCTTAATATGGAAATAAACCTCTTAATAGTGTCTTAGGATAAACATAAGTTCTTGATTTTAATGGAGTCCAAATTAACATTTATGTGTGGGGGTGTGCGTGTGCCTGTGCTGTGTGGATGTTTTGTGTTTAAGATATCTTTCCTCTCAGAAACTATGAATATATTCCCCTATGTAATCCTGGAGAAGTATTACTGATTTACCTTTCAAGATTAGAGGCTCAACTCATCTAAATTTAACTTAGTGTTAGATGTAAGAAAGTGTTCAAGATGTGTTATATTTCCATACAGAAAATTAATAAGTTACCATTTACTGAAAATACTGATACAGAATAGGGAACCAAGAAATAAAGCTGTAACCTTGCAGGAAACTGACCTTTGACAAAGTTGACAAGAACATACACTGGGGAAAGAACACTCTTTTCAATAAATGATGCAAGGACAGTTGAATTGCCAAATGCCTGAACCCTTAACTCTCACCACATACAAAAATGAACTCAACACAGATTAAAGGCTTAAATGTAAGATCTTAAACTATAAAAATACTAGAAAAAATAAAAACTAGGGAAAACTCTTCTTGACATTGGTCTAAGAAAAGAATTTACAATTAAGACTTCAAAAGGACAGACAACAACAACAAAAAAATAGACAAATGGGACATAATTAAACTAAAATATTTCTACACAGCCAAAGAAATAATCAACAGAGTGAAGAGACAACCTGAAAATCTGGAGAAAATATCTGAAATCTATGGATCTGACAAGGGTCTATATCCAGAATACAGAAGGAACTCAAATAACTCAACAACAACAAAATAAAATAACTCATTAAAAAGGGAGAAAGGACTATAGATTGACATTTTTCAAAAGAAGTCATTAAAAATGACCAACAAATATATAAAAAAGTTCAACATCATAATCATAAAAGAAATGCAAATTAAAACCAGAATGAAATATCATCTTATACTAGTTAGAATAGCTCTTATTGAAAATAATGAATGTTGCCAAAGATGCAAAGAAAAGGGAACTCTTATATACTCTTGGTGGAAATGTAAATTAGTACAGTCATTATGGAAAATAATATGGGGATTTATCAAGGAACCTAAAATAGAACTACCATTCATTCCAGCAATCTTACTAATGAGTTTCTATCCAAAAGATAATAAAGCAATTCATCAAAAAGATACCTACACTCCTATGTTTATCACAGCACTATTCACAATAACAAATATACGGAATCAACCTCAGTTTCCATCAATGGATCAATGTATAAAAAAATGTGGCACACATAAATACAATGGAATACTATTCAACCATAAAAAATAATGAAGTCATGTCTATTGCAGTAGCGTGGATGGAACTGGATACCATTATCTTAAGTGGCAACAAGTCAGACACAAAAAGACAAATATTGCATGTTCTCACTTATAAGTGGGAGCTAAATAATATGTAAACATGGACATAGAGTGTCGAAAGACAGATAGTGGAGACTTGGAAGGGTGAAGAGGTGGGAGGAGAGTAGATGATGAGAAATTACTTAATGGGTACAATGTATATTATTTGGGGGATGGATACATTAAAAGCCCTGACTTTACCACTCTACAAACCATGCATGTAACAAAATTATGCTTTTACCCCCATACACTTTTACCAAAAAAATAAAAAAATAGTCAAGACAAAATGATGATAGTGAGTTAGAAACTACAAGTACTTATTTTCTCCTACATTTTTTCAGCTTCCATGATAGTTGGGGCCCATGACTGTGTTAGCTAATAGACTCTAAAATATAGTGCCAAAATAGTTACAATATGATGTTCTGCCTCTATGTTTTCTTATGGTTACTCTGAAGGGTACATATATATTCCACATATCATAGCTACAAAAATGGTCTGAGGCTGGACTCTTGACTGCTATCACACTGTATTGCAAAACTATATGTTCAGCCCCTAAGATTTGGGAGTTCATTGAGACCACAGCACAGTCTATCCAATGCTATTCCATATAGAAATGATCGAAAATAGTATATTTCTGGTACAGAAATGGAGTGCCAGCATAAGAGAAACATAATACTTGACATTATATATATAGTCAGGTGTCAAACAGGATGGCGATGTGGAAGGAGGAAAGATGATAATCTTTATCATGTAGTACCACAGTATTTGGCAAATTATTCACCATGTAGCTAAAATGAAGAGTTGGTAGACAGACTGGCAAGTATATTTTGGTCAATACTGATCGATTTCAGTAAGTTATTATGACAAAATGAGATCATAGAATAATTGACCCACATGCAAGTAGAAATGATGGGAATACATAAATTTCATATTTTACAGATTTGCATGATTGGAAAGATAGTTTCATCCGAACTAAATAAAAACAGTAAAAGATGAGACTGTAAGAGGCATTGAGTATTATTGTACAGTAAAATCTCATCTTGTGCAAAATTACTTAATGTGAAAATAAAACTAAGGGTGTGTCCTTAGTTTTTCAAATCATTTTTTGGTAGCTTCCATTAAATTACAAGAGAGAGATACGGAGGCTATAAAACAAAGAAATAAAGTGTATTTGAAATTGCATCTTCAAAAATTAACTTTGGATTCTTTTTCTCTTGGAACTAACTAGGAGCAAATAGATTAGAAGCCTATATAATTTTTGAAAGATACTATAAGCCTGGATTTTTTTAAAAGTATTTTACTGGACCATATTAAAAATAATCCTACTGTCAATGTGCAGACAAGAAATAGGGGAAGGTATTTCCCATTGCTAATGGCAGGTCCTCCTAGAGAATAGAACCAAAAAAAAAGAAATCTCCTCATTGAATGAGCCAGGACTTTGGGAACTATTGGAAAATCATGATTGTGTTTTGATATGTGAGGATATGAGATTTGGTAAGGGCCAGGGGTAGAATGCTATGGTTTGGCTGTGTCCACACCCAAATCTCATGTTAAACTGTAGTTTCCATAATCTCTATGTGTAGTGGGAGAGACCAGGTAGGAGGTAATTGAATCGTGGAGGTGTTTTTCCCCATTCTGTTCTCATGATAGTAAGTTCTCAAGAGATGTGATGGTTTTATGAGGGGCTTCCTTCTACACTCAACTGTCATTCTTCTCCTTCCTGCTGCCATGTAAAGAAGGACATGTTTGCTGCCCCTTCTGCCATGATTGTAAGTTTCCTAAGGCATGCCCAGCCATGCTGAATTGTGAGTCAATTAAAGCTCTTTCCTTTAAAAATAATCAGGACTTGGATATGTCTTTATTAGCAGTGTGAGAATGAACTAAGAAAACCACCGACCAGAAAAACCCTTGGATCATATATTTTTCACAGCTGAATTCTACCAGACATATAAGGAAGGGCTGGTATCAATTATAATGAAATTTTGCAGAAAAAATTGAAAAGGAGAAACTCCTCCCCAGCTCATTCTATAAGGACAGCATCGTTCTGACACTAAAATCTGACAGAGACAAAGCGACAAAGGAAAGCTGTGGGCCAATATGCCTGATGAACATAGAATAGCAAAAATACTAAAAAAAAAAAAAAAAAAAAATACCAACAAATTGAACCCTGCAGCACATCAAAAAGCTAATCCACGCTATTCAAGTCGGCTTTACTCCTGGGATGCAAGGTTGTTAGAGGCCATTCTCCTAAGTGAATTAATGTAGGAACAGAAAACCAAATACCACATGTTATCACTTATTAGTGGGAGGTAAATATTAAGTACACATGGACACAAAGAAGAAAAATACACACAAGGGCCTACTTCAGAGTGGAAGCAGGGAGGAGTACATAGATCTAAAATCTTTTAGGTTGGTGCAAAAATAATTGCAGTTTTTGCCATTGAAAGTAATGGCAAAAACCTAATACCTATCAGGAACTATGCTCATTCCTTGGGTGACAATACAGTTTGTACACCAAACCTCTACATATGCAATTTACATATATAACAAACCCGCACATATGTGCCCTAATCCCAAAATTGAATTTGGCAGGAAAAAAATCAAATGCTTTCTTATATAGTGGCAATGCACAATCAAGTTTAAAGATTGAATCTATCTATCTATCTATATGTATGTATTGTTTATAACAGATTAAAATAAAATGAGGTATGTAGATATAGATCTAAGAAATATGTACAGAATATGCCTATGACAAACAACAAAACATTTATGAAAGTAATAAATAAGAACTAAATAAAGAAATATACATATTCATGTATGGAAAGACTCAGTATTTTGGCTGTTCATTCTTTGTCACTTGATCTATAGATTCAGTACAATTATAATTAAAATCCCAACAACATATTTTGAAGATATTAAAGAATTGAATCTAAAATAAATAAGAAAAAGAAAACACGAAGAAAAGCCAACAAGATGCTGAAAAAGAGAAATGAAGTTGGAAGACTCAGAAGATCCAATTTTGACAAATAGTCTAATACTATAGTAATTAAGACATCATGAAATTGATTACAGAATAGACACGTAGATCAATGGAGAATATAAAGTCCAGGACTTTACCCATAGGGGCATATTCAACTGATATTTGATAACGGTACAATAGTAAATCAATGGATAAATGATAGTCTTTTCACCCAATGTGGCTGAAAAATTTGGATTTCTGTATACAAACAATGCATCTAGACATAGACTTTACACCTTACCTAAAAGTATCACAGATTGAAATGTAAGGTATAAAACTATAAACCTTCTAGAACAAATTATAAAAGAAAATCTGTGCAATCATGGGTTTGGCGATGAGTTTTAGATACAATATCAAAAGGTCAAATATACACCAAAAATAAGTAGTACTTTATTAAAATCAAAAAATTTGCTCTATGAAAAATATAAGAGAATGAAAATATTTTTCCTCGCCAGTGATACAGTATTTGCAAATCACATTTGTATAAAGGACTTACGTCCAGCATATAAAAATTGCTCTTATACTTCAAAACAGATAAACAAAAACCAAAATAAAAAATGGCGAAGTCTTAACAGACACATCACCAAAGATGATACACTCATGGCAAAAAGCATATGAAAATGTGTTCAATAGCATTTGTCATTAGAGAAATGTAAATGAATACAAAACTGAGATATCCATTAGAATGACTAAAATCTAAAAATTAAAAAAAGTAAATTTGTCAATGCCTGCTACCAGAAGGGATGCATAGCAACATGAACTCTCATTTATTTCTGGTGGGAATGCAAAGTAATGGTACAGCCACTTTGAAAGACAATTTCGCAGTTTCTGACAAAGTTAAATATAGTGTTACTATATGATGCAGCAATTGTGCTTCTAATGATATAATAATAAATACAGATATAAGTTAATTATTTAATAAAAATTATTTGAACTCTTATATCCACACAAAACCTGCATGTGAATATTTACATTATCTTTATTATAATGTATAAACACTGGAAACAACCAAGATATTCTTCATTTGGTGAATGGGTAATGTACCTATGGTACATCCATGCAATGAAATACTATTCAGCAATAAAAAGAAATGAGCTATCAAGCCATGTAAAAACATGAACAAAATTTAAATTCTTATTTATAAGTGAAAAAGACCAGTCTGAAAAGGCTATGGAGTTAACAATTTTATTTATATGAATTTCTGTAAGGCAAAACTGTAGAGACCTTAAATAGATCAGTGATATGGAAAAGGTGAAGGTTGAATATATGTGGCACAGGGGATTTTTAGCTGGTGAAATTATTTTGTATGCTCTTGTAATGGTGAATACATAACACCTGGGATTTGTCAAAATGCAAATGGATATTTGCATAGAACCTTAACAAATTACAGCATAAAGAGTGAAGTTTAACAAATGCAAATTTTAAAATATCATTAGGAAGTCCAGGAATCCCAGGGTAACATGCAATCTGTGATGATTAAACCTAAATATATTACAAATGCATGAAGTAAATTTATTGAAGGGAGAGAAGGAAATGTTTTTATTCTAAGTAACTTTGTAAATAAGCTGAGAATTTAAGACTGTGTGCCAAAGGAAATTTATATAAGTACTGGGTTCGAGTTGGGAAATTGTTCCCCATGGGAGTATTGCTTAACAATTCTGAAACCACAGTACATATATGGTGGAATTGAACAACAAAGTAAAGTGATAACAGATGGTAGAAGGAAAGCTTCTCATTGTTGAAATGTGAGGTGTTAGACAAACAAAAAGAAAATAATAATTCATATGGTAATGTATTAGAGTTGAAAACATCAGTATGAACACGTTTAGCTTAATATAGAAATATTTATAGATATGAGTATATACAAACATTACAAAATTATATACATCATACAGAGATATATCATCTTAACTCTGTTAAGTGAGAGGCCTAGAGGCAAGGACAGTGCAGTAGTAGCAGCACATCCAGCTCTGAGATACTGGTTTCTAATATAATTCTCTAATAAACGGAGCCTGGGTTCCTTACTAAATAATTAATTCCAGGAGTGGGTCCGGCAATGAGTATAGAGTATCTTGTAAGGTTAGATAAGGAAGAATTCACCAAAATCACAATATAGAGGTATGTTAGAGGGACACAGGCACTAACTGAAAGAGCTCACAATGGCCAAAGCCAGAACCTTTTGAGCAATCAAATAAGCAGTGCATTATTATTATTATTATTATTATTATTATTATTATTATTATTTATTATTATTTGGTGGGGGGAAGCAGGGAGGGAGGAAGAGAATGAGGAGGACAGCAGTACATTATCAAATAGTAACCTCATATATAAAGTAATTATCTTTTAATACCTAGTGAAATATATAATTGGATAAATTAATAAATGTGAGAGAATAGACAGATTCCCAGTGCAGAGGAATCCAAAATCCCTCAGTGCGGGCTGAGCAGAGTGAATTATTTCAAAGAATAAAGTATACAAAGAGGGAAAAAGAGTAACTTTACAATGTGGAAGCTGACGAGCACTACCTCTGTCAGGTAATCAATGTTAGTATCAACAGCCGTAAGACATAACTTAGATACAATTTCATGAGAATGGCAACTTAGTTCTGTAATCATCCTCCCCAAAACTCATAACCCCAGTCTAATCGTGAGACTTAAATCAGAAATAACCCATGTAGATATTTTGAAAAATATCTGACCAAAAACTCTCTAAACTATCAAGGTAATAAAAACAAGAATATTTTACAAAACTATTACAGTCTTCCACTACACATAATGTTCCGTCAGTGATATGACAACTAAATGGCATCCAGGAAGGAGTCCTGGAACAGAAAAAAATATATATATTAGGGAATAAAGTATGGACCGAAGTTAATTATGTCTGATCATTGGTTCATTAATTGTCATAAAAGTACCACACTAATAGAAGTTATCAATAATGAGGGAAACCAGGTGCGGGAAACAGGTGAACTTTCTGTATTATGTTCATAACATTTTTGTAAATCTAAAAGTATTCCAAAATTTTTTAGAGTTTATTTTAAAAGATTAAAAGAATAGGTATGTTAAAGGGACACATTAGCCAACCTGAAAGAGCCCTCAGTAAACGGAGCTGGATCAATTTAAGGAATGAATAAATAACATACTATTGCATTAAAAACCAAAATAGAAAGTATATATTCATGAGTCCATATAAATATTAATTAATAGGGAGGAATAAACAAATTTTCCTTACAAGACTTCATTAATATATGTCTATGTACTCTTCTTCAGGAAGTAGAACTTCATTATATTCCAGGCCCTGCTTGAGGGTGGGCTACACATACTGAATAATTTCCAAAGAATAGATTACAGAAAGGCAAAAGTAGTCATTTTCACAGTGTATGAATCTGGAAAATGCTACCCTAACCTTTAAAGGTTAACATCCCCAGTGATATCATGTATCACCTGATATGATGTGATGACAAGGGCACTGTATAGTATTTTTTCCCAAAAACCTATAATTTCAGTTTAATTATGGAAAAAAATATTAATATCAGACAATTCCAGGTTGGGGACATTATACATAAAATACCTGGCCAATGCTTCTAAAGACAGTCAAGGTCATGGAAGACCAAGAAAGACTGAGAAACTGTCACAGATCAGAGGAGACATGACAACTGACTACAGTGTGGTGCCCTAGATTTGAATCTGAGACAGAAAGAGAATGCTAATGGAAAAACTAGTAAAGTCCAAATATGTCAGAAATTAGTTAATATTAATATATGAGTACCAGTTTCTTAATTTTTATACTTGCTCCATGGCACTATATTATACAGACAATGGGAAAAACTGGGTTTGAGTTACATGAGAACTCTCTGTACTAGTTCTAAAATTTTCTGTAATTCTGAAAGTATTCCAAAATTGCTAAAAGGTTTCTTTAAAAATATATAAACATTATATATACACACACATTTTATATATATGTCTATTATATAGAGAGACACACATTTATTTATATAATGTATATTATACATGTCTATTATATATGTCTATTATACACACATTATATATAATAGACATACATAATACACATTATATTAATAAAAAGTTTCTTTAAAAATATATGAACATTATATATACACACATATATTCTTTATATAATGTATTATATATGTCTATTATATATGTGTATATATATACACACATTATATATATAATAGACATATAAATAAAATATACATTATATACATATAATAAACAATATTACTAGCTGTGGTAGAATAATAATGAAAACATTTTACTTCATTTCCCCACCAAGAGATAAGGTCTATTTCTCAAATTTCTTCTAAACCAAGCTAAGCTTGTGAATGATTTGTGGAACAGAAATATATTGGAAATGACACTGTGCCTGTTCAGGACCTAGTCTTTAAGAAGACTGGAAACTCCTGCTTCTTCCATCTTTGAGCCCAAATGTCATGTGTGAGTAAGCCCAAGCAACCACATGAAGGAGAATTGAGGTTCCCCGCCAAGAGAACTGAGTTTCTCAATGACAAATCAGCAGTAACTTGCCAGCTATGTGGATACGAATATTCCAGCCTCATTCAAGTCACTTCAGCTAATACCACATAAAACAGAGACAAGCTATTCCCACTGAGCTTTGATTAACTCACAAAATCGTGAAAAAAATATGTGATTGCTGTTGTTTTAAGTCAATAGGATTTGGGGTGGTTTTTCATTCATAAATATGTAGCTAAAACAAAATTTGGTTTTAGAAATGCTTTGCTGTTGAAACAAAAGCCTAAAACACATGAAATTACCTGTAGAACTGAGTGAAAAGGAGAGTACTCAAGAAGATTATTGGGAAGGTCGGAAGGACAGTGATATTGTTATTGGATATAGGAGGAAAATGGAGTAACATTGGTCAACAATATTACTTGAGATATTCCAAAAACAGCAATGATATCTAATTAACTTGTGGATATGGCCTAGGAGATTTTCAGGCAGATCTATGCAAGTACAAGCTGTTGTCTTTGAGACTGTTATGATAAATGTAAACTGAAAAAAAAGTGAAAATTAACTGTTCATTTTTAAATTGTAATTTAAAATAAATATAAAGGACCAAGAATACGTTTGAAAATAAAACTCTTTTCTATTCCAGGTCTGTAAACAATAAGCTACTAAAATAGTTAACGGCTTCCGAAAAAGATCAAATTCAGTGTTACTTTAATTCCAATAAAAAGTTGTTTCTGAGTCAAATATATCAATGGGGTGCTTGTTTAAGACCCTTTGCTAAGACCTCAGAAAGATTTAAGGTTATGTCTCACAGACTCATGCACTTAGACAAAAGAATTTCTAAGCATTGTAAGAGTGTTATCCAATAATACCCTCAATTATGACCTAAGAGAGAGAAGGGCTCACCTTCGAAGGAAATGGGGGGCTTGACTTTTGTCTAATTGAGTTGAATATAAATTGTGTATGAGAAACTAACAAAGTTTTCAAAAGATGATTTCACTTGGACTGAAAAGGACAGAGAAAGTTCAAAATGAAAAGGGATCTTTAGGCCCTTAGCATTCTATGAACATGAACCAAATTGAGAAAGCTATTCAACTACAAATTTAACATATTTCTAATGGAAAAAGGCAGAATCAAGAGCTCAAGGGGTGAAACCAAGAGCCACAGAAAACCATTCTAAGGGAACAGAACTGAGTTCTAATTAAACAACTGGTGATATTTGCTCAGATGGATTTTAGAATTGTCATGAAGCAATGACTTCTTTATGCCTCCTATATCCTCCTTTTTGAATTAGTGTTCATTGAACTCTCCCTATTTTTGTCATTTTATTTGAGTATATGAGGGGGACACAATTTTTTATTTTACCACTGTAATTTTTTTTTTAATCAGGAGGAACCACACCTAAAAAACCTCCACACCTGGCCCTCCTGATACTAATGAACGCATTTTGGATTTTGAGCATGACGAATAATTTGTTAAATCTTTAGTTGGATTTATTGTAAGAATGGATATCTTCCATTTGAGAATTATGCAAATAATTGTGTCTTGAGAGTAGACTCTTGCATATTGAAAGGAACTCTACATTCTTTACCACTATCTTCAGATAAATGTTTTTTCTATTTCTCTACCTTGATATGGACTGATCCTGTCACTGTTTGTTCAAAAGAATACGGTGGAGATGACTCTGCCAGGTTCATGTCTACCTTTTAAGAAGATTGTTAAGTTCTGCGTCCTCTTTCTGAAAACAGCCTGCCATACTGTGACAAAAACAACAAAAACAACAACAAACCAGGTAGCCGAGTGGAAGAGATTTTAGAGTCTTAGCTAAAACTCCCAGATGAGCCACCAGCCAACAACCATTCACAAGAGTAAACCATTTTACAATTATATTTTTACCCCCAGTTAAGTTGTTCTACTTAGAATAGAGATGTGCTCTTCCCATTGAGCACTGATCAAATTGAAAAAAAAAAAAATCACGAACCAACAAACTATTGTTGCTTTAAAACTTAGTAATTAGCACAGATTGTATAAAGCAGTAAATAATCAAAATACTAGCTCTCACCTCTTTCTGTTTTGTGACACTGACAGAAAATTTAATGTACGTTTGGGTGCATTAGGATGAAACACTATCTTTCTCTTAGCATTTTTAAAAATAAATAATACAGGTGAGTGACAGAAATAATTTGAGTATCTGCTAAATGTTGCCAATATATTTTCATCCTCTTTTGTAAATTTGGATTTTTTTTGTTAAGCCAAATTACTTTCATTCATTTGGTATTCATCTCAATGTAACAATCTTCTAAATTAACTATTTTAGAACTCCAGAACTTCTATAAGTTATATCCAAATTAGTGCTTAAAAATAAAATTGTTATTTTCTTCTTAGTTATTTAATCATGGTGATTAAAAATAACCTTGAAGAAAACCCTTAAATAATAAATTTTAGTTTATTTTATAATTATTGGTTCTTCAAGTTGATGATTTATTTTACAGTTTACACATTTGTATTTACGTAACAATTCAATTTTGTCTATTTAGTACATTATTTATTTTTACATATAGTATGCCATCTAGTGACAATAAATTAAAAAGAATAGGCACTCTTTTAAGTCATCTTGAAGAAAAAAATTATATACATACATATTCTTCTTAAAATTATTTTAAATGGGAAGTTATTTTAAATGTCATCGCCTTCAACATACTTCATTCTATATATATTCAATAAACCTCATGTCTGTTACAATTCAATTCAACTGTAAGGAGAAAGACCTAGTATTTAGTATATTCTATCAAATAATTATGATTTGTACTCTAATTTAGTTAAAAGTCTTATTTATAATTGATGTTTTCCTTATTTTATTAAATAGAACTCACTGCCTTATTTATCAGTTAACAAAAATATTTAACATATGTTGTTTCTACAGAGTACTCTACAACAGCAATGTTTTCTTTCAGTAAACTATATCCTTAATAGTAATATGTACATGGTTTAATATATTCCAGAGAAAAAACATTATTTGCATATATCATATTTGCTCTTTCTCTGGACAATTTTATAGATGTGGATTTTGAAACTCAGAGAGAATGTGGATTGTCACTGATATTACATGGCAGAAATAGTACTTGAAAAGCGACCTTCTCACATACAAATCAAAATTAAAACTCTACGATGCTAATACAATTTCAAATATAAAATGTACTACAATATTTGACATATAGTTGGTTGTTGTCTTATTTTTCCTTATCATCTTAAGCTTCTCATACATTTTTATAAGCAAATGCTTGACCATCTTTTAAGGAAGGATAAAATATGTGTATTCCATGGAATCTCCCCTAGTTTACTATGTGGCAAAGAACTTACAAATTTAAACAACTTAGAGAAAAATTTGTAAAACTGTTTTTATGTTATTATTTGTTCGACTTCTTTAAGGTTCTAATAAAATGTGTGCAATCATTCCCCTAAAAAAATTTAAAAATCACTCTTCTAAAACCTATCTAAGATATCATTAGGGACATTACATTAAGGAAGACTGACCTTGAGGATTAGCTAATTTCCATGCCACTATCAAGCTTCTTTAAAATTGAATGAATACTAGAACCCACTGATTTCCCCCTTTTTAAAGAATTCCAAACAAGCGTCCCTTTAAATGTGATGATATCCCTAAAAAAAAATAATAAAAAATAAAAAAGCACCAGCTGAGAATTCAGCTCAATCTATACATTTAGGTACCATAAGAAATATCTTGAAATAAATACATATATATGTATACACATATTAATTTTAAACTCATTTTTTATTCTGAAATATTATAAGTAATTATTTGAGTCATTTGATTCATTTTCAAGATGGCAAAGAATAGAATATTGTTACTTGAATTTTGAGTATAAAACTTTATGAAAACAAAAACATTTTATATTTCTCTTTTTTTTTTTTTGCATTATCATATCGTGAGCCTAGATTGCAGAATTTAACCTGTAAAAGTTCTCAATCATATAGTAAAAGGCAAGGGAGAAAGAGCACCTGCCCTGGTCCCAGGGGTTTGTATGGCAGAGAGCACAGATAGAAATAATCAGCAGGCAGATGCCTTGATCTGACTTGCATAGATTTTAAAGCTGAGTGAGTGTAAAGGTATTTTTTATATTTTTAGATACATTGCTTCTAAGATTTTTTTAAGGAAATACTCTGTACCATGCTGCTCTCCAACATAGTGGGCTCTAGGAAATAAAACAAGGAACATCAGATGTGCTGTTTTGCAAGAGGTATTAGCTGGCGGTCTTGAATATCCTTCAGTTTCCGTTTAGCCTAGTGAGACCCAGAAATCTCCACATGCCTTTTAGGATTGGTAAGTGTAACCAAACTGAAGCCAAGATGACCTCCATTCATGTTCTACAGCTAGCAAGGGATAATGTCACCTCGATAAAGAGATTGGAAACTGCTTAAACAAGAATCCAAAGGTGGAATACAGTAGACCATTAGAGATAATGGACAAAGGATGATCAGGCAGCAAAATAGTTTACTAATAAGGTCTGCTCAAATTAAAGAAGCAGAGAGAGAAGACCCACAATAATCAAGCCACGAATATCAGACACATTTAGTAGATGAATGCCTAAGAATAAAATTCAACAATTCTCTCTTGAATACATCAGCCAGGAGAACCTAGAGGACATGTATATAGGGAAAGATTCTGTATTCTTTCCACTTCACATTTCCTTTCTATCATAACAGTCTTTTTATACTATTCCACTCTATACACAGTAGGTTGAGGGAACAGAATGTTGAATGCATGAACATTTTTGAGGGAACAAAATAGTGAAAGCATGAAAAGTGTTTACCAAGCAGTGGTTGCTTATAAAACTTTAAAATAAGTTATTGGATTTTATTCTTACTCTTTTTTTATTATTCTTATACTTTAAGATCTGGGATACACGTGCAGAGCATGCAGGTTTGTTACATAGGTATACACATGCCATGGTGGTTTGCGGCACTCAACAACTCGTCATCTACATTAGGTATTTCTTGTAATGCTATCCCTCCCTTAACCCCCCACTACCCGACAGGCCCCAGTGTGTGATGTTCTTCTTTCAAACTCCAGTGTTTGGTTTTCTATTCCTGTGTTAGTTTACTGAGAATGATGGTTTCCAGATTCATCCATGCCCCTGCGGAGGACATGAACTCATCGTTTTTTAATGGATGCATGGTATTCCATGGTGTATATGTGCCACATTTTCATTATCCAGTCTATTGACAAGCATTTGGGTTGGTCCAAGTCTTTGCTATTGTGAATAGTGCTGCAATAAACACACATGTGCATGTGTCTTTATAGGAGAATGATTTGTAATCTTTGGGTATATACCCAGTAATGGGATTACTGGGTCAAATGGTGTTTCTGATTCTAGATCCTTGAGGAATCACCAGACTGTCTTGCACAATGGTTGAACTAATTTACACTCCCACAAACAGTATAAAAGCATTCCTATTTCTCCACATTCTCTCCAGCATCTGTTTTTTTCCTAAATTTTTAATGGTCACCATTCTAACTGGTGTGAGACAGTATCTCATTGTGGTTTTGATTTGCATTTCTCTAATGACCAGTGATGATGAGCTTTTTTTTTCATACCTTTGTTGGCTGCATAAATGTCTTCTTTTGAGAAGTGTCTGTTCATATCCTTCACCCACTTTTTGATGAGGTTGTTTGCTTTTTCCATGCAAATTTGTTAAAGTTCCTCATAGATTCTGGATATTAGACCTTTGTCAGATCGATAGATTGCAAAAATTTTCTCTGATTCTGTAGGTTGCCTATTCACTCTATGATAGTTTCTTTTGCTGTGCAGAAGCTCTTTAGTTTAATTAGATCCCATTTGTCAATTTCGGCTTCTGTTGCCATTGCTTTTGGTGTTTTAGTCATGAAGTCTTTGCCCATGCCTATGTCCTGAATGGTATTGCCTAGGTTTTCTTTTAAGGTTTATATGGTTTTAGGTCTTATGTTTAAGTCTTTAATCCATCTTGAGTTAATTTTTGTATAAGGTGTAAGGAAGCGGTCCAGTTTCAGTTTTCTGCACATGGCTAACCAGTTTTCCCAACGCCATGTATTAAACAGGAAATCCTTTCCCCACTGCTTGTTTTTGTCAGGTTTGTCAAAGATCAGATAGTTGTAGATGTGTAGTGTTATTTCTGAGGCTTCTGTTCTGTTCCATTCGTCTCTATATCTGTTTTGGTACCACTACCATGCTGTTTTGGTTACTGTAGCCTTTTAGTGTAGTTTGAAGAGAGGTAGCATGACGCTTCCAGGTTTGTTGTTTTTGCTTAAGATTGTCTCGGCTAAACAGGCTTTTTTTTGTTTCCATAAGAAATTTAGTTTTTTTTTTATTCTGTGAAGACAGGAGCTGGTTATTTGAAAAGATTAACAAAGTAGATAGACCACTAGTCAGACTAATAAAGAAGAAAAGAGAGAAGAATTAAATAGACACAATAAAAAATGATAGAGGAGATATCACCACTGATGCCCCAGAAATACAAACTAACATCAGAGAATACTATAAACAACTCTACGCAAATGAACTAGAAAACCTAGAAGAAATGGATAAATTCCTGGACACCCACACCTTCCCAGGACTAAACCAGGTAGAAGTCGAATCCCCAAAGAGATCAATAACAAGTTCTGGAATTGAGGCAATAATTAATAACCTACCAAACAAAAATGTCCCAGGACTAGACGGACTCACAGACGAATTCTACTAGAGGTAAAAAAGAGGAGTTGGTACCATTTCTTCTGAAACTATTCCAAACAATAAAAAAAAGGGACTCCTCCCTAACTCATTTTGTGAGACTAGCATCATCCTGATACCAAAACCTGGCAGAGACACAATAAAAAAAGAAAATTTCAGACCAAAATGCCTGATGAACATCGATGCAAATATCCTCAATAAAATACTGGAACACCAAATCCAGCAGCACATCAAAACCTTATCCACCACTATCAAGTCAGCTTCATACCTGGGATGCAAGGCTGGTTCAACATAGGAAAATCAATAAATGTAATCCAACACATAAACAGAACCAATGACAAAAACCAAATGATTTTCTCAATAGACTCAGAAAATGCCTTCGATATAATTCAACACCCCTTCATGCTAAAAACTCTCAAAAAACTATGTATTGATGGAACATATCTCAAAATAATAAGAGCTATTAGTGACAAACCCACAGCCAATATCATACCGAATGGACAAAAGCTGGAAGCATTCCCTTGGAAAATCGGCACAAGACAAGGATGCCCTCTATCACCACTCCTATTCAACATAGTATTGGAAGTTCTGGCCAGGGCAATCAGGCAAGAGAAATAAATAAAGAGTATTAAAATAGGAAGAGAGGAAGTCAAATTATCTTTTTTTGCAAATGACATGATTGTATATTTAGAAAACCCCATCATCTCAGCCTTTAAGCTGATAAGCAACTTCAGCAAAATCTCAGGATATGAAATTAATGTGCAAAAATCACAAGGATTCCAATACATTAATGATAGAGAGCCAAATCATGAGTGAACTTTCATTCACAATTGCTACAAAGAGAATAAAATACACCTAGGAATACAACTTACAAGGGATGTGAAGGACCTCTTCAAGGACAACTATAAACCACTGCTCAAAGAAATGAGAGGACACAAACAAATGGAAAAACATCCTATGCTCATGGATAGGAAGTATCAATATTGTTAAAATGGCCGTACTGCCCAAAATAATTTTTAGGTTCAATGCTATTCCCATCAAGCTACCTTTGTTCTTACTCTTTTATGTCCCTAAAAACACCTATGTTTTGTCTGCTACTAAAAACAACTTGAGGGTAGAGAACTCATAGGAAATAACATATCAAATAAAAATAAATGAAAAAATTGAATTTCTCTTAATATCTGAATATGGAATAAGTTTACTGACTCTACTATATGCCTAAACACTATGTTATGTAGCTCTTTCAGGGAAAAGCTCAATGAGAATATAGATAAAACTCTCTCTCCTATCAATATATTATTATAGTATATTAGAAATTATATTATTATAGAGTATTAGAAATTATATCATTCATTTTGTTTGATTAGTATATTCCCATTCGGATACTCTGATTCATCTCTGATTTTTCAACTGGCCCTTGTTCTATAAGGTTATGAAAATATAAGTGGCCACCAAATAATTATTGTAAGCAACTACTTAATACAATAAAATTGAGATATATAACTATTAGTAATTGTCACATTATCTACAGAAATTGATATAAAACAAATGACATGAGTGAGTACTAGCTAAATTGCAGTAAGCATCTAAATTAATGTCCTTATTGCCAGTAAATGTTTTACCAATAACATACTCAAGATGTAGCCTTACAAAATATTTTAAAGGTAATCACACTTTGACAATTGCCTAATTAAGACATTTATGAGTTAATAATAGTTTATTTTTAAATGTTCCAATATATTATTTTAGATTTGCTACTTTAAAGAGTTTTCTACATGGCAATTTTTGTTTAAGTGCCTACATTGATATATATACATATATTAAATAAAACCTATGAGAAAGTAAATTGTATTATAATGCCGACTTCAGAAATATGGTACCTGAAAAACAGAGAGGTTAAGTAATTTACCCAAGGTTACATAGCTAATAAATGGAAGATCCAAAGGGTCTAGCTTCAAAATCCATGTTACTTAAAACTATACTATATTGCCCCTTGTTATACTTTGTAATATAAATCTTGTTACTGCTTCCCCAGTATTTAGTCCCCTTCACATCATAACTATCTAAATTTTAGTGTATTCTAGTTATGCATATTCAGAAATTTAGTAGAATGCAACTTAGTGTACCATACAGCTCATGCTTAACAGAACCCACATAATAACATTCCTTGACAACCATTATTTGTTCATGTTTAGAAACATGACCTGTATTTGGAAAATGAGGCATGAGAAAATATTTTGCAGGAACTTCTGAAAACAAGCTTTCTTATTTATTTATTTTTTTTTTTTTGAGTTTCCAGAAGCAGAGAGAGATAAGACCCATGATAATCAAGCCATAAACAGATGCATTTACTAGCTGAATGGCCAACAATGGAATTCAACAAATCCATCTTGAGCACGGCAGCCAGGAGTACGTAGACGGCATTTTATGGATATCCAGATACAAAATTATATTGCTCCCATTAGTAAGATTGCTGGCAATCTTACTATGTAGCAACTAAAATACAGGTTAACCACTTAAATTTGAATTTCAGATAAACAGTCAATAATTCTGCATAGGATATACTTATACTAAAAACTATTTGCTGTTTATCAGAAATTCAATTTTAACAGGATGTCCTATATTTCATCTGGAATCTTACCCTTGTTTCATGACAGAATAATGCAGATCTGGGAGCTCTTAGCAGGCATTTTGTAATCACAATAAAAAGTCAGTTTTCAGAAGTGGCAGATGGCAAAAGAGAAAGATTGGAGGGAAGAAGACAGTGATACTATGCTTTAGCTGAGGAAACAAAACAGTCTCCACTCTTTCTTATCTCCTATTTTAACTAGCCAATGTATTTTATTAGATTTTGGCAAGGTTCATTTGGGTATTATGTCACTCTATTTCAATATAACTACTCTGATACACACTAAAGAATTACCATGAAGTATTGTTAATCTCAAAAGTTGTCGCTGTTTTCCTGAATATGGTTCAGCCATTTCAAAGTTATATACTCTATAGATGAAAAGAGAAGTGTCTTGGGATGTTTCAGAAATGTTATGTCACACAACGGAATTCCTTAGCTTTACCTGACTGATAAAATCTGAAAGTTCAAGTCAGATGTATGAAGGGTTAATAAAAATTCAATTTATTTTATATCATGCAATGAAAACACAAATCAGTACCAAGGCTAGCAATATTCAAATATAATATTTTGATCTTTGAAATGTGTGTAATTTGTTCCACTACTTCACATGAATGATAATGTTTTGTTGTTGTTGTTGCTGTTTTGGTGTTTATTGCTTCTCTCAAATCACCTCTTGAGTGCATCTCTCTTTGTTAATATTGGGTCCATAATTTAACTGGTATCTTCATTATCAGCTCATTATCTCACTGATGAAATGTTTCCATGGTGAAAGAAACTGACCTACTTGGGTTTTAGTTAGAATCAGATAAACTAGGCACCAACAACTTTTTATCTTTGTAAAACGTGTTTCGATGAAGGAATGTTAGAGGTAATAGAGAGGAATGTTCAGTAGTACATGCAGTTTGAGTAAAAAAATTAAGGTAATCATTTATTTTATTCAAGTAACCAGTTTTGTTTTAACACAGCTTGAAGGAATTCAGCATAGAAAAAGACTAGCAAATAAGTGTAGCAAATAGCATGTGCTTATTCAAATGCAACCCTATTTTTTCCTCAAATTTACAGACATGAGACAAATATACAAAGATATACAGATTGATCCGGATATATAATAGATACATAATTTATATAGATTTATTCCTTTCACCAACCCATGTAGTATATTTTTTCAGTATAAACATTTATGGTAGTTGGCTTTTATAATGAACAGTGCTGTGAAACTGCATTTAAACACAAAACCTCCTCAATTCTACATCCAAATTATATTCTAGTTGCATAATTGTTTTACTTGAAGTATATTTTATTTTGACCTCATCACTCAATGGTGACTTATTTCTAGGTTATTTCAATAATGGATATGTTTTTTCTCATTAGCTTCTCCTTTGAGATAGTGAATGTATACTCTCCCAATGCTTACTTATGTTTCTATTTACTCTTTCAATTATGAAAAATAAATATTTCCATAGACTTTCTTTATACAGAAAGAGAAAACAATTTATACACATTTATAATGTATTTTACTATTTACTTCTATGAGTATATATGATAAACACTGAGGTACAGTGAATAATCACAAAACCTCAGCTATTTGCAAAGTAACAGTGCAATAGTCACAGGCAGTGATTTTGCTGGCCAAACCCAGGAAAAAATGCATGGCAACACTGGATATGAATGAAAAGTTTATTGAAGGAGTAAGTTACTCCCCTAAGCAAACACAATAGTTCTGATATTTATTCATAGGAATATTGACATTTTCTATTAAAATAACTTGTGATACTCTATTAAATGCTTATTATAATTACTTAACAATTATAAACAAATCAGAACAAATCAATATGATTAGCCTGATGGTGTTGTAACTATATAATTGTTTTATCAAATGGTTAGGTAAACATACTTGAACTAGACAAGCACAGAACTATTATCAATGAAATAAAAATATTAAAAGAATTTTAGCTTTCAACACCAATACGAATAAACATTATATTCAGGTAAATAAATAATGGGATGTATCTTTATACTGTAGTACTTATAATCTGCCTATTAAAAAATACTAATATTAAATATGTACCAGAAATTATGGAGTATGAACACACACACAAATACACACACACATATATGTATACACACTGTGTCTGTGTGAATATTGTGAATATACATATATATCATATACATACTTATGTGTATATATGAATACAAACATATAAATACTTATATTTGGTGCACAGTATTATTTTGAAAATTATTAACCTATCATTGATTATCCCACATTATCATGAGAAAATGTTGAAGGCAACAATTTTGTTGCAAACTGATAGACAAAATTATGAAAAATTTAGGAATTGTAACCACTGTAATTATGCTAGGGTTAAAAAAATCCAGGCTTATTTAAACATGCAAAAAATAAAAACATGTAGCGGAAGAAATTTCAAAAGTTATTGGAATGGTCATTTCTTTTGGGAGACATCCTGCAGTGATATCTTTCTTATTTCTTCCAGAAGAAATATGCTAAACAGAATTTGTCTCACAAAGATAATCATGAGCCATGATGATAACTGACATTTTTCAGGAATATATTCCTTGCCACTTCCTAAATAAAACTTCTGAAAATTCCAGAAAAAGCAAAAAGAATATGAGGATAAATAACCATGAAAAAGAAAACAAGCTAATAATATACTAAATATGTAAGAAAAGAATGAGAAAATCATGAGTATATGTCAAAGAGGTCACTTACTTCCAAGGGGTTGCCACAAAGGATATAAAAATTACATATTATTGTTAATTTTTTTAAAGTGAAGGAATTATATTTATATAAGTGAACAAATGAGACAGTAAAAATCTAGAGAAGCAATAACAAAAATAACAAAATGATATTGAAGAATTTTAAAATATATTTAGAAAAAAATAAGCCATTAGAAATATAAAACCTAATGCAGAGCATAAAAAAAGAATAAACACTTCTAAAAACATAACAAGAGCTTGTAGAGCAGAGCCAAAAACGCAAACCTAATTAAGTTGAAATGAACTGAATTTTACATATAATTGGAAAGAATGATAAACCAGCAAAGGGACCTTAGTATGCACATTATTAATATCTTTGAAAGAGAGAACGGAAATAATTAAATGAAAATATGATCAAATATAAAAAATTTAGGAAACTTGAATAAAAGAATTAAATATGGATAATGTAATCAATAAAAATAGAAGAGCAGCTTCTATGGGAATGAAACAATTATACATTTTTAATTTGAGCAGTTCTTCTGAGACTTGATCCCTGGCAAATAAAATAACAAAATATAAGCAAAAAAACAATTATTGTTCTTGAAATATTTTTCATAGTAACCATAAACTAGAATCAAGATGACCACCAATCAATAAAGAATAAAAAGAATTATTGTGTTTTAAATATTTAAAATAATAATTTAGAACTACACCATATAATGCTTAAGGAACTCCATCAAGTACTACTGAAAGAGAAAAGCTAGATACACAACATTATGTAATATTTCATTTTTATAGAATTAACAATTAAGAAATAAATATCCCATTATATATAGAGTTTTGCTTCTTTTTTCTTTGTATTTTCTATATTTTCTAGAGTAAACATCTACTTTTGATAGTGATAAAAATTTGTTTTTGAAAACATAACTTCCAACACATTCTGCATCTGAATATGCATAATCAGATGCAGAAAACTGACCACCCAATCTTCTATATATTATTTAATGTATCTATTTTAATAAAACTTTAGGACTTGTTTGGTTTGTTTCTTATAATTTAATTTTACAAAATAAAAATTTTTAAGAGGTATTGCAATTGAAGAATATTCTCTTTGAAAGCAGAGGCACAAGTTTCAGTAATCCCTTAGTATATGATATATGATATAAAGCTTTTAATAGTTATTCTCAGCATCAAACAGTTTCTGCTCATTAATAAAGTAAAATTAAAAGTTAATTTAATGTTTTGAGACAATACTAGTAAAAGATTAATGAAAAACACATTTGAAAAAAGCATTTAATATTAGTAATAGCTGCTTAATCTGTTTTTCTCTCACTTTCTGACTTTAAAAGACAGAAAATCATAGCTTCCATATTTTGAAGAAAGATTGAATTAATAGCATTCTGAGATAAACCTGCTGGGATGAACAAGGCTCTTTAATGGAGGTGACTTCTTAAGGTGGAAACTGTGTTTGACTTCACATCACCTTTTCATTATCTCCCTCTCTAGTCACTTATGAAATAATCAAATGAACCAACTTACAAATAAGGAGTATTTGTAAAGCCTGCATAATTAACATGGGCCATGGGTTAATAAGCAGAAATAAGCATCATTTACATGTTGGGTTTTTAGAAAATGAAGGGAAGTGATTCAATTTGACAGACTAGCCCAATATTCTTACTTAGCTGATGGCTGAGATACCTTCTTTACACATTGAAATATGTTTTTTAAAAGTTGTTCTAAAGCCTTTATAACATTGTACTTTAAACCTTTCTAGATCTTATTCATCATTCCTGAATTTATTAGTCAATATTCAACAGCTCAAGCTTATTTCTCTCAATGATTATTACTCTCAAACCTGTGTTATGATAAATGCTGGCAAAGAAAAACACATATTTTGTCCACTTTACTTCACCATTTATGATCCATTGTACTACAACATATAAAAATTTATTGTATTAAATATGAATAAATAATAAATAATAAGTAATAAAATTATTCAGCATTCATTTCTTAATTTACTGGGTTAATATTTAAATTACTACTACTTATATATTTCAGATATATTTTTATAATGCTGATGTTACTATCCACCTGAATATATATCATCATGACTTAATTCCTGGATATCATATCCAAAACTATATCTGAGATTTTTGACAGTTTTTATTTATAGCTCTCATTTATCAATAATCCTTTGTATTCCTCAAAGTAAATGCTATCACTGCCAAATAAAATGTGTTCTGCATTTTGAATTTATATATCACCTTTTCATATATATCATATATATCACCTTTCATATATATCATATATATCACCTTTTTGGAAAAAGTTCAACAAAGAAAGACAGCCACTAATACATTATTTCATACAGTTTTCATAGTATAGCTTTAATTCAATATTACTATTATGCTAGAAACTATTTATTGTCTTTCCTCTGTCAAAGGTTTGTTGTAAAGCCATTTTTATTTAGTTGCTTTACTGTTTCCTATTTTACCAAAGCCGTAACAGACAATAAGTTCTAACCAAAAGGTGTTCTACACATATAAAAACTTCAGGGCGTTGAGAATTAGATCCACATTTCTCAACTCAAGGGGGCCCCTCCAAACTTTTGGGGCTGAGCAACCACTGAGGCCTCAAGATACAGTTGACCAGGGTTGTTTTTTCCACACAAGCAGATGGCGTTCTAGAGATAGAATGATTTTCCAAGATCACAGGTTTCCTCTGTCACCATGAAACCTTTTCCCTTTTTCCTCTTTTCTTTATTTTTTTATTTGTCGCAACATAATGAAATACTTAATATTTCATAAGTAATAGCATGCTCAGGAACCTTAATTAAATATTAGATATGTCATGTTAAACCTAAATGTCTACATAATCTTAGAGATCCACTAGTTCATCGTTTAACAGATTTATTTCACTTCCAGTGTAATTATAGGTTGGCGCAAAAGTAATTGCGATTTTTGCCATTATTTTAATTGCAAAAACTGCAATTTCTTTTGCACCAACCTAATATTTGTTCAAATTGAACATCTAGTACTTTCTATAGAGTTAGGTTTTTAGATTAACATATTCAGATTTCTTGTTTAAATTGAACAGTTGACAAAATCTGTAGTGAGTGTTTTTCAGTTAAATTATGTTAAAAATTGAATAAGAAACCAAAAGAAAGATAATTAAACAGCCTGTAGACGAATTAATAACCCTAATCCTTAAATTGTTCATAGACTTCAACTACACCATGATTTAATAGTGGAGGCTTGGTAAAAAAATAAAAAAATTACCAGTGCTTCCCTACTGATGATCCCCTAATGCAAAAGGCATCCCACAGGGGACTGTCTGTTGTGCACCTAGAGGGTATATATATATATTTTTTTTTATTATACTCTAAGTTTTAGGGTACATGTGCACATTGTGCAGGTTAGTTACATATGTATACATGTGCCATGCTGGTGCGCTGCACCCACTAACGTGTCATCTAGCATTAGGTATATCTCCCAATGCTATCCCTCCCCCCTCCCCCGACCCCACCACAGTCCCCAGAGTGTGATATTACCCTTCCTGTGTCCAAGTGATCTCATTGTTCAGTTCCCACCTATGAGTGAGAATATGCGGTGTTTGGTTTTTTGTTCTTGCGATAGTTTACTGAGAATGATGGTTTCCAATTTCATCCATGTCCCTACAAAGGACATGAACTCATCATTTTTTATGGCTGCATAGTATTCCATGGTGTATATGTGCCACATTTTCTTAATCCAGTCTATCATTGTTGGACATTTGGGTTGGTTCCAAGTCTTTGCTATTGTGAATAGTGCCACAATAAACATACGTGTGCATGTGTCTTTATAGCAGCATGATTTATAGTCCTTTGGGTATATACCCAGTAATGGGATGGCTGGGTCAAATGGTATTTCTAGTTCTAGATCCCTGAGGAATCACCACACTGACTTCCACAATGGTTGAAGTAGTTTACAGTCCCACCAACAGTGTAAAAGTGTTCCTATTTCTCCACATCCTCTCCAGCACCTGTTGTTTCCTGACTTTTAATGATTGCCATTCTAACTGGTGTGAGATGATATCTCATAGTGGTTTTGATTTGCATTTCTCTGATGGCCAGTGATGATGAGCATTTCTTCATGTGTTTTTTGGCTGCATAAATGTCTTCTTTTGAGAAATGTCTGTTCATGTCCTTCGCCCACTTTTTGATGGGGTTGTTTGTTTTTTTCTTGTAAATTTGTTTGAGTTCATTGTAGATTCTGGATATTAGCCCTTTGTCAGATGAGTAGGTTGCGAAAATTTTCTCCCATGTTGTAGGTTGCCTGTTCACTCTGATGGTAGTTTCTTTTGCTGTGCAGAAGCTCTTTAGTTTAATTAGATCCCATTTGTCAATTTTGGCTTTTGTTGCCATTGCTTTTGGTGTTTTGGACATGAAGTCCTTGCCCACGCCTATGTCCTGAATGGTAATGCCTAGGTTTTCTTCTAGGGTTTTTATGGTTTTAGGTCTAACGTTTAAATCTTTAATCCATCTTGAATTGATTTTTGTATAAGGTGTAAGGAAGGGATCCAGTTTCAGCTTTCTACATATGGCTAGCCAGTTTTCCCAGCACCATTTATTAAATAGGGAATCCTTTCCCCATTGCTTGTTTTTCTCAGGTTTGTCAAAGATCAGATAGTTGTAGATATGTGGCATTATTTCTGAGGGCTCTGTTCTGTTCCATTGATCTATATCTCTGTTGTGGTACCAGTACCATGCTGTTTTGGTTACTGTAGCCTTGTAGTATAGTTTGAAGTCAGGTAGTGTGATGCCTCCAGCTTTGTTCTTTTGGCTTAGGATTGACTTGGCGATGTGGGCTCTTTTTTGGTTCCATATGAACTTTAAAGTAGTTTTTTCCAATTCTGTGAAGAAAGTCATTGGTAGCTTGATGGGGATGGCATTGAATCTGTAAATTACCTTGGGCAGTATGGCCTTTTTCACGATATTGATTCTTCCTACCCATGAGCATGGAATGTTCTTCCATTTGTTTGTGTCCTCTTTTATTTCCTTGAGCAGTGGTTTGTAGTTCTCCTTGAAGAGGTCCTTCACATCCCTTGTAAGTTGGATTCCTAGGTATTTTATTCTCTTTGAAGCAATTGTGAATGGGAGTTCACTCATGATTTGGCTCTCTGTTTGTCTGTTGTTGGTGTATAAGAATGCTTGTGATTTTTGTACATTGATTTTGTATCCTGAGACTTTGCTGAAGTTGCTTATCAGCTTAAGGAGATTTTGGGCTGAGACGTTGGGGTTTTCTAGATAAACAATCATGTCATCTGCAAACAGGGACAATTTGACTTCCTCTTTTCCTAATTGAATACCCTTTATTTCCTTCTCCTGCCTGATTGCCCTGGCCAGAACTTCCAACACTATGTTGAATAGGAGTGGTGAGAGAGGGCATCCCTGTCTTGTGCCAGTTTTCAAAGGGAATGTTTCCAGTTTTTGCCCATTCAGAATGATATTGGCTGTGGGTTTGTCATAGATAGCTCTTATTATTTTGAAATACGTCCCATCAATACCTAATTTATTGAGAGTTTTTAGCATGAAGGGTTGTTGAATTTTGTCAAAGGCTTTTTCTGCATCTATTGAGATAATCATGTGGTTTTTGTCTTTGGCTCTGTTTATATGCTGGATTACATTTATTGATTTGCGTATATTGAACCAGCCTTGCATCCCAGGGATGAAGCCCACTTGATCATGGTGGATAAGCTTTTTGATGTGCTGCTGGATTCGGTTTGCCAGTATTTTATTGAGGATTTTTGCATCAATGTTCATCAAGGATATTGGTCTAAAATTCTCTTTTTTGGTTGTGTCTCTGCCCGGCTTTGGTATCAGAATGATGCTGGCCTCATAAAATGAGTTAGGGAGGATTCCCTCTTTTTCTATTGATTGGAATAGTTTCAGAAGGAATGGTACCAGTTCCTCCTTGTACCTCTGGTAGAATTCGGCTGTGAATCCATCTGGTCCTGGACTCTTTTTGGTTGGTAAACTATTGATTATTGCCACAATTTCAGAGCCTGTTATTGGTCTATTCAGAGATTCAACTTCTTCCTGGTTTAGTCTTGGGAGAGTGTATGTGTCGAGGAATGTATCCATTTCTTCTAGATTTTCTAGTTTATTTGCGTAGAGGTGTTTGTAGTATTCTCTGATGGTAGTTTGTATTTCTGTGGGATCAGTGGTGATATCCCCTTTATCATTTTTTATTGTGTCCATTTGATTCTTCTCTCTTTTTTTCTTTATTAGTCTTGCTAGCGGTCTATCAATTTTGTTGATCCTTTCAAAAAACCAGCTCCTGGATTCATTGATTTTTTGAAGGGTTTTTTGTGTCTCTATTTCCTTCAGTTCTGCTCTGATTTTAGTTATTTCTTGCCTTCTGCTAGCTTTTGAATGTGTTTGCTCTTGCTTTTCTAGTTCTTTTAATTGTGATGTTAGGGTGTCAATTTTGGATCTTTCCTGCTTTCTCTTGTAGGCATTTAGTGCTATAAATTTCCCTCTACACACTGCTTTGAATGCGTCCCAGAGATTCTGGTATGTGGTGTCTTTGTTCTCGTTGGTTTCAAAGAACATCTTTATTTCTGCCTTCATTTCGTTATGTACCCAGTAGTCATTCAGGAGCAGGTTGTTCAGTTTCCATGTAGTTGAGTGGCTTTGAGTGAGATTCTCAATCCTGAGTTCTAGTTTGATTGCACTGTGGTCTGAGAGATAGTTTGTTATAATTTCTGTTCTTTTACATTTGCTGAGGAGAGCTTTACTTCCAACTATGTGGTCAATTTTGGAATAGGTGTGGTGTGGTGCTGAAAAAAATGTATATTCTGTTGATTTGGGGTGGAGAGTTCTGTAGATGTCTATTAGGTCTGCTTGGTGCAGAGCTGAGTTCAATTCCTGGGTATCCTTGTTGACTTTCTGTCTCGTTGATCTGTCTAATGTTGACAGTGGGGTGTTAAAGTCTCCCATTATTAATGTGTGGGAGTCTAAGTCTCTTTGTAGGTCACTCAGGACTTGCTTTATGAATCTGGGTGCTCCTGTATTGGGTGCATAAATATTGAGGATAGTTAGCTCCTCTTGTTGAATTGATCCCTTTACCATTATGTAATGACCTTCTTTGTCTCTTTTGATCTTTGTTGGTTTAAAGTCTGTTTTATCAGAGACTAGGATTGCAACTCCTGCCTTTTTTTGTTTTCCATTGGCTTGGTAGATCTTCCTCCATCCTTTTATTTTGAGCCTATGTGTGTCTCTGCACGTGAGATGGGTTTCCTGAATACAGCACACTGATGGGTCTTGACTCTTTATCCAACTTGCCAGTCCGTGTCTTTTAATTGCAGAATTTAGTCCATTTATATTTAAAGTTAATATTGTTATGTGTGAATTTGATCCTGTCATTATGATGGTAGCTGGTGATTTTGCTCATTAGTTGATGCAGTTTCTTCCTAGTCTCGATGGTCTTTACATTTTGGCATGATTTTGCAGCGGCTGGTACCGGTTGTTCCTTTCCATGTTTAGCGCTTCCTTCAGGAGCTCTGTTAGGGCAGGCCTGGTGGTGACAAAATCTCTCAGCATTTGCTTGTCTATAAAGTATTTTATTTCTCCTTCACTTATGAAGCTTAGCTTGGCTGGATATGAAATTCTGGGTTGAAAATTCTTTTCTTTAAGAATGTTGAATATTGGCCCCCACTCTCTTCTGGCTTGTAGGGTTTCTGCCGAGAGATCCGCTGTTAGTCTGATGGGCTTTCCTTTGAGGGTAACCCGACCTTTCTCTCTGGCTGCCCTTAACATTTTTTCCTTCATTTCAACTTTGGTGAATCTGACAATTATGTGTCTTGGAGTTGCTCTTCTCGAGGAGTATCTTTGTGGCGTTCTCTGTATTTCCTGAATCTGAATGTTGGCCTGCCTTGCTAGATTGGGGAAGTTCTCCTGGATAATATCCTGCAGAGTGTTTTCCAACTTGGTTCCATTCTCCACATCACTTTCAGGTACACCAATCAGACGTAGATTTGGTCTTTTCACATAGTCCCATATTTCTTGGAGGCTTTGCTCATTTCTTTTTATTCTTTTTTCTCTAAACTTCCCTTCTCGCTTCATTTCATTCATTTCATCTTCCATTGCTGATACCCTTTCTTCCAGTTGATCGCATCGGCTCCTGAGGCTTCTGCATTCTTCACGTAGTTCTCGAGCCTTGGTTTTCAGCTCCATCAGCTCCTTTAAGCACTTCTCTGTATTGGTTATTCTAGTTATACATTCTTCTAAATTTTTTTCAAAGTTTTCAACTTCTTTGCCTTTGGTTTGAATGTCCTCCCGTAGCTCAGAGTAATTTGATCGTCTGAAGCCTTCTTCTCTCAGCTCGTCAAAATCATTCTCCATCCAGCTTTGTTCTGTTGCTGGTGAGGAACTGCGTTCCTTTGGAGGAGGAGAGGCGCTCTGCGTTTTAGAGTTTCCAGTTTTTCTGTTCTGTTTTTTCCCCATCTTTGTGGTTTTATCTACTTTTGGTCTTTGATGATGGTGATGTACAGATGGGTTTTCGGTGTAGATGTCCTTTCTGGTTGTTAGTTTTCCTTCTAACAGACAGGACCCTCAGCTGCAGGTCTGTTGGAATACCCTGCTATGTGAGGTGTCAGTGTGCCCCTGCTGGGGGGTGCCTCCCAGTTAGGCTGCTCGGGGGTCAGGTGTCAGGGACCCACTTGAGGAGGCAGTCTGCCCGTTCTCAGATCTCCAGCTGCGTGCTGGGAGAACCACTGCTCTCTTCAAAGCTGTCAGACAGGGACACTTAAGTCTGTAGAGGTTACTGCTGTCTTTTTGTTTGTCTGTGCCCTGCCCCCAGAGGTGGAGCCTACAGAGGCAGGCAGGCCTCCTTGAGCTGTGGTGGGCTCCACCCAGTTGGAGCTTCCCTGCTGCTTTGTTTACCTAAGCAAGCCTGGGCAATGGTGGGCACCCCTCCCCCAGCCTCGTTGCCGCCTTGCAGTTTGATCTCAGACTGCTGTGCTAGCAATCAGCGAGATTCCGTGGGCGTAGGACCCTCTGAGCCAGGTGTGGGATATAGTCTCGTGGTGCGCCGTTTCTTAAGCCGGTCTGAAAAGCGCAATATTCGGGTGGGAGTGACCCGATTTTCCAGGTGCGTCCGTCACCCCTTTCTTTGACTCGGAAAGGGAACTCCCTGACCCCTTGCGCTTCCCAGGTGAGGCAATGCCTCGCCCTGCTTCGGCTCGCGCACGGTGCGCACACACACTGGCCTGCGCCCACTGTCTGGCACTCCCTAGTGAGATGAACCCGGTACCTCAGATGGAAATGCAGAAATCACCCGTCTTCTGCGTCGCTCACGCTGGGAGCTGTAGACCGGAGCTGTTCCTATTCGGCCATCTTGGCTCCGAGGGTATATTTTTATTTGTGGTGGATTTAACAATTAACCACATGTATGGGCAACTTCATGTCTTCTTAAGTGAAAAATAAGGGGCAAATGTAGATTATGGATTCTAAGGGTACCACTGTCACTCAACTACCAGTTGGAACTGAACATTGAAATTTACCTCCTATTTTGCACTGTGGAATAAAGAGGAATTTGCCAGCAAGAATAAAGTCCTCTAAATGACCACCTTTTGGTAGAATGTTGTTTCTCTGGATCAGCATAAATGCAAATGAAGTTATTATTACAGAACTGTCTCAAACATTAGCAACTGTATAGCTGATTCTACTGCAAAGGCTATAGCTATCCAGAACGCTTCTTTAAATTCTTTTGCTAACGTTGTTTTAGATAAGAAGATTGCTTTGGACTACCTTTTGGTGGGTGTATGTGATAGCCTACACTTCTTGCTGCAGTTTGATAAATATGTCTGATATGCTGGAGACTCAGTTGCAAGAAATTACAAACAAACTATTTGATCATAACTAGATTTGTCTTCTGGCTCATTTTGTATCTATATTATTTTAATTAATTTTGTTCATATAGGCTCCTATTAAGAAGCACATTTTAGTCTCTTGGTATTATCCTGCCGAAAGTCATTACAGTAGTCTCACTATTGTGCTATATTCTCTCAAATGTCATAGATGTTTGCGTGCAGCCATCCACAGTGTGTCACATGGTCTCTCTGTCGTTAGAGCAAGATACTGTAAAGTGGTCATATTGACCTAACATCATGAACTGTGAATTCCACACTGAGACCAAGCAAGCCCATTATGATGATGACAGAGACTGGCATCAATGCCCAAATTTTTGGTCAATCTCTCAAAACTGAAAGACTGACCAAAAGGAACAAATTGTCAAATTAACTTAAATTTGGCCTGAGGCTGCCTTCGTACATAAATCCCTATACAGTGAAATAAAAGATAACTGAGTATGTAAACAAACTGACACCTAACTTAGGAGTATAACCAACAACTGAGTTTCACCTAGTCACAAGCAGGTGAGCTTCAGTCAATTATAGGCAGCCAATTCATCATGCAATGCCCATTAAGGCAAATGCCTCATCCCACCATGACCAAGTAACGCAGATTCCTAGCGTAGCCAATCAGGTGATTTATTTATTTTGCTTTTGTGTTGGGTTTATGAAACATCTCTGTTCCCACTGTTGAATAGAGTTTGTTGACCCTTTTCTGGTTCTGATTGATGCCTAGTTCATGAACCATTCTTTGCTCAAATTCTGCTACATTAATTTGTCTTTTTTCCTTAAGCACGTATAAATTAAAACATAATAATAATAATACAGAGAAAAAGCTGTCATTTTTATTATCTGTTAAGAATGTGTACCTTCTTCAAAATGTAATGGAATACAATCAATCTATTAACTTTTTCTGAAATTATACTTTAATTTCAGGGATACATGTACCCAACATGTTGGTTTGTTATGTCTGTATACATGTGCCTTGGTGGTTTGCTGCACCCACCTACTCGTCATCTACATTAGGTATTTCTCCTAATGCTAGCCCTCTGCTAGCCCCCTAGCCCCTGACAGGCCCCAGTGTGTGATGTTCCCTTCTCTGTGTCCATGTGTTCTCATTGTTCACTTCCACTTATGAGTGTGAACTTGCAGTTTGGTTTCCTGTTCCTGTGTTAGTTTGTTGAGAATGAAGGTTTCCAGCTTCATCCATGTCCCTGGAAAGGACATGAACTCATCCTTTTTTATGGTTGCATAGTATTCCATGGTGTATATGTGCCACATTTTCATTATCCAGTCTATCATTGTTGGGCATTTGGGTTGGTTCCAAGTCTTTGCTATTGTGAATAGTTCTGCAATAAACACACGTGTGCATGTGTCTTTATAGTAGAATGATTTACAAACTTTGGGTATATACCCAGTAATGGGATTGCTGGTTCAAATGGCATTTCTGGTTCTAGATCCTTGGGAAATCGCCACACTGTCTTCCACAATGGTTTAACTAAATTACACTCCCACCAACAGTGTAAAAGCATCCCTATTTCTCCACCATCCTCTCCAGCAACTGTTTCCTGACTTTTTAATGATCGTCATTCTAACTAGTGTGAGATAGTATCTCATTGTAGTATTGATTTGCATTTCTCTAATGACCATTGATGATGAGCTTTTTTTCATGTGTTTGTTGGCCACATAAGTGTCTTTTTTTGAGAAGTGTCTTTTTAATTTTTTATCTTCAAAGAGAATTTAATATACGTATAAGTCCAAATAAAATTCATCAAGGGAAACGTGTTTGTCTTTCACTTCTAAGTGTTTACAATCTAAAACAAGTATGACATTAGAAGCTTCCAATTATTTCAATATAAATTAATATTTTAGTATTATTTTAATTTTAATAAATTTCAACACTAGTTTATTCAATTATAATAAATTTTAATATTGATTTGCTGCTGTGGCTCATTTTGTACATTAACTCATTGTCCTTTTAAAATTTTGTCTGCTTTCCTATGTATACTACACTGGATTTCCCAAGCTCCCCTGTAGATAAATGTAGGCATAACACAGTTCAGACCAATGAGAAGAAAACAAACCTGCTGGTATTGCTTCGTGTAACATTTTGTTTCTGTCCTTCTAACATGAAGATATGACATGTGTGGATACAAATCATTTTGCCTTTCCAAATACTTGAAATCACTCCCTTTGCTCAAAATGTATTATGACTAAAAATGTGAACTTCAGAAACCCAGAACAAACTGAGCCAGGGTTTTACTCCCAGAAATTCAAATCCTCTGTGTATTGACACAGAAAATTTAGCTCATGTTATAACAGCTATCTCATAAACAGGATGTGATATGAATCAGAAAAACAATACATTAATGAAGAATTGGACCTCTAAAAGACTTTTGGTCTAGGTTTTTCAGCAGCAGTCTCAGCTTTGAATGTTCCCTGTAGACAGTTTATTTCATCAGTCTGATACTCGCCTATGGTTTGCTATTATATTAGAATTTTCTAATACTTAGGAAAGAGTGCATTTCTAAAGGCTGAATTTGTCATTAATATGATCTATGCATAATGTATGAGATGGTTATATATGTATGTGCATATCTGCACATATGCTATACGTGTTTAAGAGTTGCGTTATATATACATGGAACAACAAAATTTACCTATATGAACCTAAAAGGTACCAGATATAAGCATAACCTTTACTATAAGTGCCAGCTAAATCACCATTCCATTCTTGTATTACTGTTTCATTAATCAGAAATGCACATAAAAGTAGTAGCTGCTAATTCTGTATATAAGAAGATAAGCTAATGCAAATGTTGTTTTAACAATAGAAAATAATAATTATTGTAACATTGCTAGAATTATTTTTATTTGTCTATACTCCAAATAATATGCAAAATGCTTTGCATGCATTGTTCCCAATAATCTGTCCAATAAATAGAAGATGAATCATTTTTAAAATGATTTTTTGAGTCTCACACAGTTTAAACAACTTGATGAACTAGATGGCAGACATTTCATTTTAGGCAGCTTTATTTGATTCCAAAGCTCAATTTCATTAGGCTGCCCCCATTTCCTAAGATGAGGTGCTTCTATCATCAAGCTTATGAGTTTTCCCGAACAAGGTATATAGGTTCTATATCATGTCTTTCTTTCAAATAACTCCCTGCACATCCACATTTACATTCTACCTCTATCTAGCAGTTGGGGAAAGAAATATCTTTAGCAATTCTAATATTTCAGGACTCTGTATTAGTCAGAAGTGAAAGTTGAAATAATTAAATCTAGATGACGAAGAGGAAGAGGAGGAGAAAAAAGGAGGAAGAGGAGGAGGAGGAGCAGAAGGAGGAGGAAGAGAGTTGGGGGAGGAGAGAGAAAAGCCAATAAAAATTAAAATTTCCAAAATGTAAAATCTATTTCTGCCTTTTTTTTAAACACTTGTGTGGCTGTGGGCAAGTGATTTAATTGTTTTCAAACAGTATTAGCATATTTAAATTGAATAGGATTGCGTAGTTAACCTCAGAACTCTTAATTTTTAAATCCCAAAATTAAGTATTTCTCAAACAATACCACAATGTGTGGATACAAATCATTTAGCCCTTCCAAATGCTTGAAATAACTCCCTTTGCTCAAAATGTGTTATGACTAAAAATGCAAACTGCAAACAACCCAGAACAAACTGAGCCAGGGTTTTACTCCCAGAAATTCAAATCATCTATGTATTGACACAGAAAATATGGAGCTAGGTAATCAGAAACCTAAAGAAGCAATCTATTACTGTCTATGTGTCTAAATCCAGAATTATTTTTATTTCTAGCCTCCTAAATATCTGATTATTTCATATTTCTTTAATTTCATAGGATTTTCTTTTATATTTTCAATACATTTTTATTAACTTGTTGTAAGCAAAGATACACTAACATTACCAGTGCATATAACAATTAGAAATTCTGTGAATTGAGTATAAATTCCTTATTTTTATTATTTTAGTCTTTACTCAATATCAGCATCAGGAATAAACTTCCACTTATCCTCATTATTGCCCCACCATTCAGAAAGATGCTCTTTCTAATACAGGTACATTTTCTTTCAATATCTGTCTGAGTTGTCCTAGGATACTATTTAAATGCTATTTTAATACTCTCTTGATCATATTTCAGAATATGTTATCATGTATTTGCATAGTGTAATTTTCAGCATATAGTAAAAAAATCAGCTTACAGTGGAAAAATATTAAGTGACAATAGAAAATTAAAATAAAAGCAGTATTAATCACAAGAACCTTTACACGTGAAACTTTTTTTTTATTATTATACTTTAAGTTCTGGGATACATGTACAGAACGTGCAGGTTTTTTATGTAGGTATACATGTGCCATCGTAGTTTGCTGCAGCCATCAACCCATTATCTAGGTTTTAAGCCTAGCATGCATTAGGTATTTGGCCTAATGTTCTCCCTCTCCTTGCTTCCAACCCCTCAAGAGGCCTTGATGTGTGATGTTCCACTCCCAGTGTCCATGTGTTCTCATTGTTCAAGTCCCGTGTATGAGTGAGAACATGTGGTGTTTGCTGTTCTGTTTCTGTGTTAGTTTTCTGAGAATGATGGTTTCCAGCTTCATCCATGTTCCCGCAAAGAACATGAACTCCTCCTTTTTTATGGCTGCATAATATTCCATGGTGTATATGTGCCACATTTTCTTTATCCAGTCTATCATTGATGAGCATTTGGGTTTGTTCCAAGTCTTTGGTATTGTGAACAGTGTTGCAGTAAACGTTTGTATGCATGTGTCTTTATAGTAGAATGATTTATACTCCTTTGGGTATATATCCAGTATTGGGATTGCTGGGTCAAATGGTATTTCTGATTCTAGATCCTTGATGAATCTCCACACTGTCTTCCACAATGGTTGAACTAATTTACACTCCCACCAACAGTATAAAAGCATTCCTATTTCTCCACATCCTCTCCAGCATCTGTTGTTTCCTGACTTTTTAATGATCACCATTCTAACTGGCGTGAGATGGTATCTGATTGTGGTTTTGATTTGCATTTCTCTAATGACCAATGATGATGAGCTTTTTTTTATGTTTGTTGGCTGCATAAATGTCTTCTTTGAGAAGTGTCTGTAGATATCCTTTGCCCAGTTTTTGATGGGGTTGTTTGCTTTTTTCTTGTAAATTTAAGTTCACAGTAGATTCTGCATATGAGCCCTTTGTCAGATTGATAGATTTCAAAAATTTTCTCCCATTCTGTATGTTGCCTGTTCACGCTGATGATAGTTTCTTTTGCCGTGTAGAAGCTGTTTAGTTTAATTACATCCCCTTTGTCAATTTTGGCTTTTGCTGCAATTGCTTTTGGTGTTTTAGTCATGAAATCTTTGCCCATGCCTATGTCCTGAATGATATTGCCTAGGTTTTCTTGTAAGGTTTTTATGGTTTTATGTCATACATGTAAGTCTTTAATGCATCTTGAGTTAATTTTCATATAAGGTGTTAAGGAAGTGTCCCAGTTTCAGTTTTCTGCATATGGCTAGCCAGTTTTCCCAACACCATTTATTAAATAGGGAATTATTTCCCCATTGCTTGTTTTTGTCAGGTTTGTCAAGGATCAGATGGTTGTAGATGTGTGGTGTTATTTTTCTGAGTGTTCTGTTCTGTTCCATTGGTCCCTAAGGACTTCTTCCTATCTCATTTTCTGAAGCCAGCATCATCCTGATACCAAAACCTGGCAGAGACACAACAAAAAAAGAAAGTTTTAGTCCCATGTCCGTGATGAACATCAATGCAAAAATCTTCAATAAAATATTGGCAAACTGAATCCAGCAGCACATTAAAAAGCTTATCCACCACAGTCAAGACGGCTACATTCCTGGGATAGAAGGCTGGTTCAACATACGCAAAATAATAAATGTAATCCATCACATAAACAGAACTGATGACAAAAAAAAACATGATTATCTCAATAGATGCAGAAAAGGCCTTCAATAAAATTTAACACCGCTTCATGCTAAAAAACTATCAATAAACCAGGTATTGATGGAACGTATCTCAAAATAAGAGTTATTTATGACAAACTCACAGCCAGTATCATACTGAAATGGCAAAAGCTGGAAGCATTCCCTTGGAAAACTGGCAGAAGACAAGGATACCCTCTCTCTCCACTCCTATTCAACACAGTATTGGAAGTTCTGGCCAGGGCAATCAGGCAAGAGAAAGAAATAAAGTGTATTCACATAGGTAGAGAATAAGTCAAATTATCTCTGTTTGTAGATGATATGATTGTATATTTAGAAATCCCCATCATATCAGACGAAAAACTCCTTAAGCTGATAAGCAAATTCAGCAAAGTCTCAGGATACAAAATCAATGTGTAAAAATCACAAGCATTCCTATACACCAATAATAGAAAAACAGAGAGCCAAATCATGAGTGAATCCCCATTCACAATTGCTGCGCAGAAAACAAAATACCTGGGAATACAACTTACAAGGGATGTGAAGAACCTCTTCAAAGAGAACTACAAACCATTGCTCAAGGAAATAAGGGAGGACACAAACAAATGGAAAAGCATTCCATGCTCATGGATAGGAAGAATCAGTATCGTGAAAAATATCATACTGCCCAAAGTGATTTATAGATTCAATACTATTCCCATCAAGATACCGTTGACTTTCTTCAAAGAATTAGAAAAAAAAAACTACTTTAAACTTCATTTGGAACCAAAAAAGAACCAAGACAATCCTAAGCAAAAAGAACAAAGCTGGAGGCATCATGCTACCTGACTTCAAACTATACTACAACTCTACAGTAACCAAAACAGCTTGGTACTAGACTCATGGAAAAGAACCTTAACACGTGAAATATTTTAAAATATCTGTAGAGAAGAGAAAGATTTTTCTATCCATGACGGAGAGAAATTGAGATAGACTCCGTTGATCTGCATACAACATTTAAGAATTAAATTAATATTTATTGGGTGAATATTATGAACTAAATGTTGTGTCCCATACAAATTCATATGTTGAAATTTTAACCCCCAATATGTGGTATTAGGAGGTAGAGCCTTTAGGAGATAATTAGGTCATGAGTGTGGAAAACTCATGAACGGGATTAGTCTTGCAAGAAGAGGCAAGAGATCCAGCTTGCTCTCTTTTTGCAAGAAAATAGAAAATATATATGAGGACACAATGAATAGCTGGCAGTCTGCAAACAGGAAGAAGGCCATGACCCAGCCACACTGGTCTTAGCATTTTGGACTTCTAGCTTTCGGAACTGTGAAAGATATTTATTTGTTGTTGTTTATTAACTGTCCATTCTGTGATACTTTGCTATAATAGCTCAAACTAAGACAGTGAATGATTAAAGGAATGGATGAACAGATGGTGAAGACAGTAGAAATGTAAAAGTTACTCATATATGGATAGACAGGGTCTTAGCAATGGCAAATGGACCATATGTAAAATTAAATAGAAAGTTCAGATCTCTATCTGGTAGCTAACAGCCAATGAGGGAGGGGACAATAAAGAAAATTCAGTTATTCACATGGAAGGTGGAGATGATATGATAAATATCTTCGTTGTGGAGAAAATATTTCAAGATCTCAAATAGAATTAAAGACAAGCCAAAAAATAGTACAGTAGGAACCAAGGCTAGAGAAAGTATGTCAAAGAATGGTCCTTACCTCATTCATTGCCCTTGATTTTCCTCCTAAACAGAAGTTGTCTGGTTAATATATCCTGTCAAAATACCAAAGAATTTGAAATTGATAAATAAACGACTGATGAAGATTCTTTCCTTGTCTTTATTGTAATCACCTATGATAAAGTCTTTTTATTTTTTGAAATGCCTTATATAATTATACATCATTATATCATGCAGTTAATATAAAGTGTATTTAAAATCTAATCAATAAAATTTTCTTCAGTAACCAGAAAAGTATCTCTATTTGGATTTTTTGGATGATCATATGTTTCTTTTCAGGTACTACTATTAACTAAATAATTAGAATGTGCCATGGAGTAAATCTAATGCTTTGTCATTCTTTTCTTTTATTGCCTTTATTTTCAGAAGATAAATTATTCCCCAAATGTACAAATATTTCTTGTAAATAGTCACCTATTCATTTCCCATGAAAGACAGAATAATTTTACTCTTATTATATTCATTTTTAAATACAAACATTATAAGCTCCCCATTATGTCCACAGAATTGTAATCATTTTTTTCTTTTTTTAGTTTTTAGATTGATGCTTTGTTGGTTTTTAAAAGAGCTGGGACTATGTGAAGACATCTGTATTTTATATATTATTTTATTTTTCTTCTGTAAAGAATAAGCTGAATTGGAAACAAAATTAGCATAGACCTTTCATTAACTACAGTACATTGCCTGTTGGATACCACTCTCAGCAACTTTCCATGAGGGACTATTACAAATTATAACTCTAATTTTTTATGCCCTTGGAGAAATAAGCCTAATAGGTTGTACAAACTTATTTTTATTTAGAACGCTAGTTTAAAAATAAGAAGTATGTAATACATGTTAAAGAAACTAACGCATGCTTATCTATCCAGTACTTTTTGAAAGTGATGAGATATTGAATCTCATCTGTTTCTTTTGTTGAAAGACTCAGAAAAAAATATTTACTACTGGGATCCTAAAAATATCAGTCAAGAAGGTAAGGGAAGATAGAGACTATTGCATTTTGCAGATATAGATATAGATATAGATATAAATTTAGTTTTAAATGTGACTGGTGCTTTGTAATTGTTTATGGAATCTTATTTTTCCAAATGCAAATATATATATAGGACTGAATCGCAGAAAGGTTACAGTAGCAACCTTTGTTTTTAAAATGGTTTACTGCTTTTAAAAATAACATTTTTATATATTGTTTAATTTGCTACAATAACCCTGTGAGGTCTTCATAACTTCAAACTCAAGAAAGCATTTACCAATTATATACAGAAGAGATAGGCTTGGATTTAAAGATAAAATGAGAAGGGGAAATGCTACTACTAGTGCCTTTAAACTGCTACTATAGACAAGAATGGTTCTAAACATGGTATGTTACATTTGTCATTGAATACAATTCTTCAAATCCATAGATTTTCAAATTTTAATCTTGAGAATCCTGAAGTCCAAGAAGAAGATAGAATATTGTTAATACCTGGTGAAGCTGGAATTAGATCAGTCTATTTAAAGTCAATCTTTTCACTATAGCACACTAACTGTAGATATCAGGAAAATACATGCATATTTGTAATTGCTCAATTTACATGTAAAAATATTACTTTAGAAAGTAATTTCTAAGAAGAAAGAATAAAGAAGGAGATTCAGGAAAAAAAACCATGTATTTGACTATAGTTATTGTCTCTCCATTTCTATTTCCATGATCATGGACATTAAAGATAAGCCTGAGGGTCAAGAAATTATCTAGGTTAATAGTCGTTAACTTTGGGGCTGCAATTAAAAACAGTTTGTCCGAGGCAGGCCCAGTTTGTCTACATTAAAATAAAATTATCTATGTGTATCAAATTCACGTATTTAATTGAAAACTATTGGTCTAATTTATCTTAAATGCTTAAGCTACTGTTTTGTCTGAGAGAAAGTGAATAGGTTTATTTTTAACCAATACATCTATAAAAATTAAGACCTGGCCGGGCGCGGTGGCTCACGCCTGTAATCCCAGCACTATGGGAGGCCGAGGCGGGTGGATCACGAGGTCAGGAGTTCAAGACCAGCCTGGCCAGGTTGGTGAAACCCTGTCTCTACTAAAAATACAAAAATAATTAGCCAGGTGCGGTGGCAGGTGCCTGTAGTCCCAGCTACTCGGGAGGCTGAGGCAGGAGAATTGCTTGAACCCAGGAGGCAGAGGTTGCAGTGAGCCAAGACTGCACCATTGCACTCCAGCCTGGCGACAGAGCTAGACTCTGTCTCAAAAAATAATAATAATAAAATGAAATAAATTAAAAATAATAATATATAATAAATAAATAAAAATTAAGACTTTACTATGAGTCAAGCAGAGCTGTAAAGTGGTAAATGCTTTTATCCACATGACTTAAAAATTCCCATTAAAACTTGATGAGGTTAGTATAATGATTACTTTTATTTCATGAAGGAGTTTATGTAGCTTCCCCAAGATCACAAAGATCATACGGAATGAACCCAGTATAGGAAACTATGCAGTGTTCTTAAATACTAGAAGGCAAAGTTTAATATAGATGTGGAAACAAGGGAAATAAATCATACTGCTAAGTCAGCCATGTATATGGAAATGTCCTTGGATGTTTACTGGAAAATTACCCTTATGATTATTCTAAAGACATACTGTATTAAGTATAATGTAATATCAATCAAAATATAAACTTTTGGATATTTCTAGTTTGTTAAATATTTCATTTTCTTTCAAATATTTTCAGTTAATTTTAATATCTAGATGTAATGAAAAAATTTTAGTAACTTTGAGAATTGGTTATATACCTAAAATGTTTTAATATACTAACGCCTTCCCAATTACTCATATGCTAAGTTCTATGGAAGACCTCCACATTCTCTAGAAAGGCATTCTCTTGTGACAGTTCTAGCAATCCAAAATAATGATTCTGAAAATTCATGAGTACTTCTCAATTTCTTCCCTATGTTATATTGTATAAAGTGCTGTATAAAGTTCTTCTCAGAGGGGAAAAGTATGCACAGGAATATGGACTGCATAGAGAGAAAAATACATCAATTTATGTAATAAAGCAAGCACTCTGCTTACCACCATTGGGTGAGAATTTTTTAAAAAGTATGGAACTTCCCTCAACTTAAAAAACAGTAATGTACAATTCTTAATGGTGCTTACATTTCTAAATATCATTTAATCAAATTTTGATTATTAACTTTAAAGAAAATAATATTTTACAGACTCTTTTTAATCTTATGCATAAACGTCTCTGGGAAATGTTGGTTAATCATAGGCTGTACTGGCATGATCTTAGATTTTCCCTCGGCAACCCATTTCAGCTGTGAGCACATTATTTACTGCTCAGTTTTGTAATTATTTGGTCAATTTTTGCCAGTATCTACAGTGAACATACTTTGAGATTAAAAATTCTATAATTTTATTGTTGGGCATTCATCTACTAAATGTGTCTGATATTTGTGGCTTGACTATTATGGGTCTTATTTCTCTTCTGCTTTAATTTGAGCAGACCTTCTATACTTTCTTTATTCCTAGAATAATATTCCTTCTTTTAGCTGATAAATATGTTGTTATACCTGCATATAAAAGCAGTGCCTGGCACATAATAGTTATGTAATTAATATTTGTTGGCTGATAGAGGCCATAAAGTATGTGCAAAAATACAGTTCCTTTTTTATATTATATTTATATTATTTTTATATTATATTTATATTATTGTATTGTATTTTTATGTTATTGTATTAGTATATTTAAATACATTAAATCTCATGTTTTGACAATTTTTAAAAATAAAAAATTATTTAAGTCTTCTAGGTATATAATCTAAGATGGGAGCTTAAATGTCAGTGAAGCAAAGAACCTGCACTTGGCTTTAGGTTAGTGCCAGAGAAAAAGTGAATATAGGCATTGAGGATAGAAAAAGAGAAAATTTAATTTTTCTCAGAAGAAAGTTAAAATCATTGTTCTTTAAAGAATTCTCAGGGAAAGGAAAAGTATATGCTTATTCAACTCATTTAGTTTATGGGCACATAATATTTTATGCCAACATATGTACCCCATATATTACAAAATGTCAATATTTTTAATATTTTTTATTGGACTGTAAGTGATACATGACTATAAAATACCTGCCTTATGTAGTATAGTATCTTCAATATAAAAAGAAGGACTGCCATGTAACAGGTATGGAGTAGGTAGTTGCTGAGTAATCAACGAGTAAAGTTTTATATTTATGGAATGTAGTTAATGGGCAATGGTTCTGATACAATATTTATTGGTAAATAATTACAACTGAATGTAATTAGAGATATATCTAGTTTTGGAAGCATTTACTTTTCATACATTTTAACATTATGAATTCTTTATTTGTAGTACATAATCCACATATATACTGAAATCTATGTATTTAGTAAGTGTTACATACTACTAAAATCAAACCTAAAGTTTTTGTACGATGGACATCTTTATGTGTACAGATGTATAGAAAGATTGTAGATGGTCTACTAGAACTGTTGCTTGTCAACCTGTTTAGCTGTGTCTCCAGTTAATTCCTTTATCTTACATTAAGTTCTAGCGTAGTAAGCATTGTGCAGTGATGCGTATGTATTCTTTTCTTTTGTCCCTGTGTACTTACATGCTTGGTTCTCTCTCTCCATTTATCCACTTCTCAATCTTTTATTGTCTTCTCACAAGTGACATCAATCTGAGCTGCTTATTATGACACAGAATCAGGGAATTAATAAGATAAATCATACAACTTTAAATTGTTTTTACTTTTTTCTTGTGCCATTTTTCTAGCAGTGGTTAACAATTCCAAGTGTCACTGAATCAGTAAATAATTTCAAAATAAAATAACTGGAATCAAAATTATATAAAAATGAATGAAGCAGGATTGATCCTCTAGCTAAGTTTTGCCACAAAGATGATTGTCAATTTTCAGTAACAAAAGTATATGATCTAAGAAGTGTTAAATATTGCCTGTCAGGTTCTTTGTTGTTTTTTTCTCTGGCAACAATTTCAAATTGTGAAATGTTGATGTTTTTTATGTGACTAATATTATTTACCAGCCTTTCTCGTTAAATGTAGAAGGGATGGAAAAAATGAAGCCTAGAGCAGTGGCAACTACAGTTGACCTTGAAAAGTGTGAGTTTAAATTGTGTAGGTACACTTATATATGATTTTTTAAAATAAATTTATTGGAGAATTTTTGGGTATTTGCAACAATTTGAAAAATCTCACAGGTAAACTGTGTGGCCTAGAAATATTGAAAAGGAATGTGAAAGTTAAGTATGTCATGAATGCATAAAATGTACATAGATACTAGTCATATGTATCTATTTGATCATTTACACAAATCTACTATAAAAAGTTAAAATTCATCAAAACTTACAAACACAGATGACACGTATTGCCTTTTGAAGTGGAGAGAAATGTTAACAAATTTAAAAATGCAGTATGAAATCATAATTGCATAAAATTAACTGAAGTACATACTGTCCTACTGTAATAATTGGTAATAAATGTTGTATCTGTTTAAACTTGTGTGACATTAATCCCTTAACATAAAATTTGTCTCTCCTGTAAATTGTGTGCTGTAGTAAAAAGTAATATCTCATGAGTATCATGTATTTATCAATGTGTTTAGTGCAATACCATGAACTTTGACTAAAATCATTGGATTCATAGAAAGTGCCACTAGTGATGCTGTAAGTGCTCTGAAGAAGCAGAGAAAAGTAAAGTAATGACACTGCAAGAGAAAGTTGAATTGCTTGATATGCACCATTGATTGAATTCTGCATCTATAGCTGTTCACCATTTTAAGATAAATGAATCCAGTGTAAGGACCATTGCAATAAATGAATAAATAAATAAATAAATAAATAAGTTTGTGACGTCTTCATTACAGCAAGTACGAGCACAAAACCTTGTACTTTTTTATGCAATACATTTTTGTCTGGTATTGAAAATTCAGCTTTTAGGCAGGTAAGGAATTGTTGTAAGAAAGGCATACCTGTGGACTATAATATGTTTTGAAAAGAAACAAAGTCATTATATGATAACTTAAGGCAAAAAAATAAGGTCAAGGATCTAAAGCTGGAGAATTTAACACCATCAAAAGACAGTTTGATAATTTTAGGAAGAAGTTTAGCTTTTATAAAAGTCAGGAAAACAGGATAAGCAGCTTTTGCTGACCCAAAAGCAACAGAAACCATTAAGAAAATCACTGAAGAGAAAGGATATCTGCCTGGACAAGTTTGTAATGCAGAAGAAAGTCATCTATTCTGGAAAAAAAAAAAGTACCACAAAAAAACATTTACTGGTATTGAAAGTAAGCATCAGAATTTAAGGCAAAAATGTAAAGGTTAACTTTACTGTTTTGTGCAAATGCAGTAGGATTTATGATCAGTACCACCCTTATCCATAACGTAGTCAGCCCTCAAGCCTTGAAAGAGAGAGATCTAGCTGCCAGACTTCTCACTGTAGAACAAGAAGGCCTGGACAATGAGAACACTTCTTCTGGATTAATTGTGTTGATGCTTTGTCCCTGAAGTCAGGGAGCCTCTTGCCAGTAATAAACCACCTTTTAAATTTCTTTTGATATTGGATAATGCTCCTGGTCACCCAGAATGACATGAGTTCAACACAAGTGTCAATGTGGTCTACTTGCTTCCATACACAATGTCTGTAATTAGAGCTCTAGATCAGGTGGTCATAAAGACCTTTAAAGCTCATTACACATGTGGGCCAGGCACAGTGGCTCACGCCTGTAATCCCATCACTTTGGGAGGCTGAGGAGGCGGATCACCTGAGGTCAGGAGTTTGAGACCAGCCTGACCAAAATGGAGAAACCCTGTCTCTACTAAAAATACAAAATTAGCCAGGCGTGGTGGCGCATACCTATAATCCCAGCTGCTCAGGAGGCTGAGGCAGGAGAATTGCTTGAACCCAGGAGGTGGAGGTCGCAGTGAGCCGAGATCGTGCCATTGCACAGCAGCAGCCTGGGCAACAAGAGTGAAACTCTGTCTCAAAAAAAAAAAAAAAAAAAAAAAAAAAAAACCTCCTTACACAGGTGACTCTAAGGAAAGGATTGTCAATGCTATAAAGAGAACTCTGAAAGAGAGGACATCATGAAAACTCAAAGTTTGGACAAATTACACCATTGAAAATGCCATCATTGTTATAAAAATATCCATTAAAGCCACCAAGCTCGAATCAATAAATTCCTGCTGGGGAAAATTGTGTCGAAATATTGTGCATGACTTCACAGAATTCACAAGAGAACCAATCAAGGAAATCATGGATGAAATTGTGGGTATGGAAAAAAAGGTGGGAAGTCATGAAGTGTTTCAACTATGGATTTTGAAGAAGTTCAAGAGCTAACAGAATTTTAGAACAGTGCCAGATGATGAGGAAGAATACATGGAAGAGGCAGTGCCAGAAAACAAATGGACATTAGACAATCTGACAGAAGAGTTTTGATTATTCAAGACTGCTTTTGACTTATTTTATAACATGGACCCTTCTATCATATGGGCACTAAAGCTAAAGTACACAATAGAAGAAGGATTGGTTCATATAGAAATATTTCTGGAAAAATAAAGACAAACATGTCAGACGAGTATTACAATGTATTTCTGTGACGTTACACCTCATATTCCTGCCTCCTCTTTCAGCTCCTCCATCTCTTCCTCCTCTGCCACCTCTGAGAAAACAATACCAACTCCTCTTCTTCCTCCTCCTCCTCAGTCTACTTAACATGAAGATGACAAGGATGAGGATCTTCATGATGATTCACTTTGTCATAAATATAAATATATTTTCTCTTATTATTTGTAATAACATTTTCTTATCTCTAACTTTATTGTAAGAATAGAGTATATAATACATATCACAAATAAAATTTGTGTTAATCAAAACATTTGAAAAATAAAACATGTGTTAAGTATTTGGTAAGGCACTCCTGTCTTCTTCTGCATTGTTGCAATAATCTCATAATCAGATTTATTGCTCCCAATCTTGCCTCCAAAGAGTCCATTCTCCACCCAAAGTGAAATGGGTAATTTTAAACTATAAGTGTTCATACTCAAATCTGTCACTAAATTTAAATTATTTTAAGTCAATGAGACTCCCCTAGACCTGGCTTCAATCTTAACAATTAAACTCATCTCCTCTCATTTGCTTTATTTCCCTTATTATACCCATCATTCCACAGCAAGTTTGATAGAGGCTTAAACTTTCTGTCTTTCCTGCATTCTCATCCAGAAATTCTCTTCTCTAATAAAACTACAAAAATAGTAAAAGTTATGTAATATGTATTTAGTAGCAGACACTAATCTATATGTTTTACAGGCATTAATTCATTTAGGCCTCATAACAATCTTGTGGAAATATACTATCATTCACCTACTTTCCAAATGGGAAAACTGAGACATACAATAAAGTAACTTTCCTATGTTCACACACTAATATCTGTATTTATCTGACGTGGCAAAATGGTATATAAAATAACTCCAAAATATCAGTTGCTGAGAGTAACAAAAAGTTTGTTTCTTGCTTTAGGTGTGGTGCAATTCCATTAGATGAAAGAGATCTACACATTCAGAAGCACATGATTCTTCCCCCTTCCATGATTCCAGTGGCCAATAGGTAATCAGAACTTCTCTGTTCAGCTAAAAGACAGAAAAAGAGCATATGAAAGACGTATTTTCCCAGAAGTGCTCATCCTGATAACTGTGTACAGCACTACTGCTCATATTCCATTGGCCAATATTTAGGTAGATAACTTCACTAACTACAAGGTATGCTGGGAAATAAAGTCCAGATATGTGTGACATTATGCTCCCCCTTTTTTTTTTACTTTCTATTCATTTTTTTCTTATCCCTTTGTTAGAAAGATTTTCCATGAACATAGAACTTAATATATCGAAAATCACCCTACCATTCACTGTGTAACCCTATGTGATTTTATTCATAACATTTATCACTAAACACAATTTATTTCATTTGTTTATTTTTATTATCTCTTTGTGTATGGGTGTGTGTGTGTGTGTGTGTGTGTGTGTGTGTGTATACTTGAAATGCAACAAAACAATACAATCATATCCAGCTGTTAAATTAATGAACAAGTAGAGTTGAGTACAACATGACCCAGCCATCCATATTTTCTGAGGCCTGGACAAAGCCAGTCCCCAAAATAAGACATTGACTGGTTTCAGCCCCTCATATCTGTAATCCCTTGATACTTCACCTGACACTTACTGAAATTATAAAACAAGCCACATCAAGTCTTGATAAAGAAAGTGTGGAACCCCTTTTCAAGGCTATTATATTTCAATGAAATGATTTTTTATATATTTATATTTTTACTTATCTATGTATCTAAGTTTCAGAAATTCTGTTAAAATGAAATATGTTGAATATACCAGCAAGCTGATTTTAGAGGAGCTAAATAATCTAAGAAGTATCTTCGTCTCACAATTTTGGCAAATTTAACCTCTGTGCTTTGCTATTTATTTAAATTACAATAATTTATGGTGTCTTACCAGATGTCTATTGTTATTTCCCATTAGGACAGAATGACATTAAGGTAATTGTGTATTTATAAAACAGAATGGGGGAAAGCAGAACAAGATGGCCAAATAGAATCTTCCAGTAATCATTCTCCCTGCAAGAACACCAAAATGAGTAACTATCCACATAAGAAAACATCTCCACAACAACCAAAAATCAGGGAAGCACTCACAGTACCTGGATTTAACATCATATCAAGGAAAGAGACACTGAAGGGGATAGACAAGACAAGCTTGAATTGCCTTCACCACCACTTCCCATGCCCCAGCAGAGGTGCAGAGAGAGAATCTGTGTGCTTGAGGGAGGGAGATTGCAGTTATTGTGGAACTTTGCATAGGAAATCAGTGCTGCTTGTCACAGCAGAAAGCATCATAGGGCAGAATTTATCTGGCACCCATGGAGGGAGCATTTATACCAGCCCTAGCCCCAGGGGAACCATCCATTCTAGTGGTCAAAACCCAAGTTCCAGCTGGCCACATGACCATGAGCTAAAGTGCACTGGGGTCTTAAATTTGAAAGTCAGTCTAAGCCAAAAGTACTACAATTCCTTGACAAATCCTTGTGCTGTGCTGTGCTTGGAACCGGTGGACTTGGGTTACACACAACATAGTGAGACACCAGCTGGAGCGACCAAAGGAGTGCCTGCATCACCCCTCCCTGAACCCTAGGGTAGTACAGCTCACAGTTCTGGGAAAGACTTCTTCCTTTCTCTTTCACTTTCTCTTGAGTAGAGAAAAGGAGAGAATAAAAAGGGCTTTATTTTGCAACTTGGAAACCAGCTCAGCCACAGTAGAATAAGGCACTAGGTAGGGTCCTGAGACTCCTTCCACCCCTAGCTCCTGGCTGACATTCGTAAACCTACCCTGGGCCAGAAGAGAACTTGCTGCCTTGAAGAGAAGGACCCAGGTCTGGCAGGATACATCACCTGCTGCCTAAATAACCCTTGAGCCTTGAATACCAATAGTAGCCAGGTATTAGTAGCCATGACCCTTGGATCCAATCCAGTGTGATGCTGGCTTTAGGTGTTATCCAGAATATTACAAACTGTGGTGGACACAAGGAGAGATGCTTTCTGCCCGAGAAAAAGAAAGGGAAGAGTAAGGGGACTTTGTCTTGCAGCTTGAGAACCAGCTCAGCCACAGTGAGTTGGAGAACAAAGTGTGCTCCTGAGATCACCACCAATTTGTGGCTCCTGGACAGCATCTCTAGACTTAGCTGTGGGCAAGTGGGGAACCCACTACACTTAAGGGAGATATCCAGGTGTGGCAGCATCTACAACAAACTGACTGAAAATGGCTTGGCCCTTAAATGAACATCAATGGTAGCCAGGCAGTACTTGCTGTGGGTCTGAGGCAGTAGTGGCAATGGGGAGAGACTCCTCCTGCTTGAGTAAAGGATAGAAAAGAGTGAGGATGACTTTGTCTTGTGGCTCGGGCACCAGCTCAGCTGCAATAGAATAGAGCACCAAGAGAATACTAAAGGCTCCTAATTTCAGGCGCTGGCTCCTGGATGCCATTTCTGGACATACCCTGGCCCAAGTAGAAGCTCACTGTACTGAAAGGGAGGACATAAGGCTTGGCTGAATTAGCCATCTGCTCATGGAAGAACACTTGAGCCTTGAGTGAACATAAGCAGTAGCCAGAAAGTGGTTGCCATGTCTTGGGTGAGACCCAGTGCTGTGTTGGCTTTGGCTCTAACTTATTGCAGTCGCAGTGGTTATGACCATAGGATTGCTTATATCAACTCTCCCACAGTTCCAGGCAGTTCAGCAGGGACAGAGAATCTTCATTTGTTTGGGGAAAAGTAAGGGAAGAGAAGAGTCTCTGTCTGGTAATCCAGATAAATATCTTTGATATTACCGAAGGCCATGTTGATGGTACATCTATCACTCTGCAAGACTAACATGTTACTGGATTTGGGGTGACCCGTTATGCAAATATGGCTCAAGTGATCAAAGAGTTATATCACTACACTGAATTCTCTTTGAATATTTGGAAAGCCTTCCCAGGAAGGATGGGTTCAAAGGAGCCTAGACTGTGAGGTCTACAATATATACCTAACTCTTCAATGCCCAGACATAGACAAACATCCACAAGCATTAAGATTATCCTGGAAACCATGGCCTTACCAAACAGACTAAATAAGGCACCAGAGGACCAATCCTGGAGTGACAGAGACATGTGAACCTTTTGGCAGAGAATTCAAAATAGCTGTTTTGAAAAAGTGAGCAATCTACAAAATAAATCAAGAAAGTAATTATATTCACAATAGCTACCAAGAAAATAAAATGTCTAGGAATAAACTTTACCAAAGAATTAAAAGATATCTATCATGAAAACTATAAAATATTGATGCAAGAAAATGAAAAGGACAGAAAAAAGGAAATATATTCAATGATCATAGATTGGAAAAATTAATATTGTTAAAATGTCCATATTACCTTAAGCAATCTACAGACTCGGTGAAATTCCTATCAAAATGCCAATGACATTCTTCACAGCAGTAGTGAAAGAAATCCTAAAATTTATACAGAACCACAAAAGATTCAGAATAGCTAAAACCATTCTGAGCGATAAAGTGTAAAACTGGAGAAATCACATAACCTGACTTCAAATTTTATGACATAGCCATAGTATTCAAAACAGTGTGATACTGGCATAAAAACAAATAGAACAATGACACTGAGTAGAGAATCTAGAAGTGAATCCATACATCTAGAGTGAACTTATTTTTGTCAAAGGTGTCAAGAACATACATTAAGGAAAGCAAGTCTCTTCAATAAATGGTACCGGGAAAACTGAATATTCATATGCAGAAGAATAAAACTAGGTGCCTGTCTCTCACCACATATAAAAATGAAACAAAAAAGGATTAAAGTTTTAACTGTCAGACCTCAAACTGTGAAACTACTGAAGTGGAAAAGTAGGGAAACTCTCTAGGATATTGGTTTGAGCAAAATATTTCTTATTACCTCAGAAGCAGAGGCAATCAAAGCAAAAATGAACATTTGAGATCATGTCAAGTTCAAAAGCTTCTGCACAGGAAAGAAAACAATCAACAAGATGAAGAGACAACTCAAAATCCATCTGACAAAGAATTAATAACCAGAATACATAAGGAGGTCAAACAATTCTATAGGAGAAACATCTGATGATCTGATTAAAAAACGGGCAAAGTATCTGAATAGACATTTCTCAATAGAAGACATAAAAAAGACCACCAAATATGAAAAAGTGTTCAATATTATTGATCATCAGGAAAATGCAAATCAAAACAATAATGATGTATCATCTCACCCCATTTAAAATGGCTTTCATCCAAAAGACAGGCAATAACAAATGCTGGCAAGAATGTGGAGAAAAGGGAACCTGTGTACACCATTGGTGGAAATGTAAATTAGTACAGCCACTATGAAGAACTGTATGAAAGTTCCTTAGAAAACTAAAAAAAATAACGAACATATGATCCAACAACCTCACTGGTAGATATTTACCCCAAAGGAATAAAATCAGTATATCGAAGAGGTATCAGCACTCCCATGTTTATTGCAGCACTGTTTACAATAACCAAGATTTGGAATCAACTTAAGTTTCCATCAACTGATGAACGAATAAAGAAAATACGGCACATATATGTAATGGAGTACTTATTCAGTCATAAAAATAATGAGATCCTGTCATTTGCAACAACGTGGAAGGAACTGAAGGGCCTTAAATTAAGTGAAATAAGCCAGGCACATACAGACAAGCTTCCTATATTTTCACTTATTTGAGAGAGCTAAAAGTTAAAATAATTTAACTCATAAAGACAGATAATACAATGATAGTTACCAGAGGCTGGGGAGTGTAGTGCAGGCTGGGCAGAAGTGAGGATGGTTAATGAGTACGAAATTATAGTTAAATAGAATAAATAAGATCTATTTATTGATAGCACAACAGAGTAATTGCAGTTGATAATAAGTTATTGTAAAGTTAAAAATAACTAAAAGAGAATAATTGAAATGTTTAGAATGCAAATAAATGATAAATGCTTCAGGTGATTAACCATTTACCCTAATGTGGTTCTTATTCAGTATATGCCTGTATCAAAATATCACATGTCCCATAAATATATATATGCCTACTATATAACCACAAAAAATAAAAAACAATTAATTTAAGAAAAGAAACAAAAAACCCAGGACAGGTTCTTCTCAAAGAGTCACTATCAGATTGGTTCCTAAGCACAGGAGAATAACATTTAAAATTAATATTTAGAGAAAATTGAAAGCTAAACATTTAAAATTTAAAGGTGAAGTTTTCATTAAAAATAATCTTTCACCCTATACTTATGTTGAAGACTTCCTTAATCTAGGTAGCTCTATCCCATTGAGCTGCCAATTATGTAACCAAGGCAACCAATAGTGCAGAAATATTAAATGTTAGATTGCCAAAGCATGTGAAAGAATTTCTCCCTCCCTATTTTTTTCTTTCTTTCTTTTATTTTTTCTTTTTTTTTGTTTAGACGGAGTCTCGCACTGTCTTCTGGGCTGGAGTGTGGAGTAGGGTGGTGCAATCTTGACTCACTGCACCTCCGCCTCCCAGGTTCAAGCGATTAAGTGGCTGGGATTACAGGTGCCCGCCACCACGTCCTGACTAATTTTTTTGTATTTTTAGTAGACACAGGGTTTCACTATGTTGGCCAGGCTGGTCTTGAACTCCCGACCTCATGACCCGCCTGCATCGGCCTCCGAAAGTGCTGGGATTACAGGCATGAGCCAATGTGCCCGGCTCCCTGTTTTCTTGACTACTGTCTCTGCTAACTGTGCTCATCTGCTATTCCTCTTTCAGGAACTCCTACTAGACCTGGTTGAAGTTTTCCATTTTATCTTACTTCCATTAACCTCTTTTGTGTGCTTTCTCTATCTCCATTTTATGTACTGTATTCTATGTAATTTGTGATTACTTAATATATTTAAAATCTTTAATTTAATATAATTAATATGTGTTAACATATTAATTTTAGTTTACTTAAAATTAGTTTCTCTACTTAAAATTCATGCCTACTTTTTTCATTTCTACATTTTCTGTTTGCTTGTTTATAACATGTTTAGTACTATACTGTGTAATGAGTCATAAACCATTTTACTGAATGCTTTAAATATGCTTATGTAGAAATGCATTTCTGGCTGCACTGTCACATGCTGTTTTGGAAGTATAAATTTGCCCGTGTATTTAATTTGCTGATTATCTTTCTTCTTTGGTTATTTTTATGTCTCTTCCTCAAAGAAGGTTTGTATGTGTGTATATGTGTAGCTTTACATATATCCTGAATATTGGCATTTCTGTTTAGAAGATTTTTGCATTTTTCTTTGGCTGAATTTAGTTAGTAAGAATGTTTTATTTAATTTTTCAGCTATGTGTTTCTGAACATTACTTTTTTTTCTTTTTCTCTTTCTTTCTTTTTCTTCTCTTCTCTTCTCTTCTTTTCTGTTTTGTTTTTTTTTGGACAGAGTCTTGCATTGTCGCCCAGGCTGGAGTGCAGCAGCACAATCTTGGTTCACTGAAACTTCCGCCTCCTGGGTTCAAGCGATTGTCCTGTCTCAGCCTCCCGAGTAGCTGGGATTGCAGGCATGTGCCATGACACCCAGCTAATTTTTGTATTTTTAGTAGAGACAGGGTTTCACCATGTTGACCAGGCTGGTCTCAAACTCCTGACCTCAAGTGATCTGCCAGCCTCGGCCTCCCAAACTGCTGGGATTACAGGCATGAGCCACCGTGCCCGGGCTGGACATTACTTTTAATAAAAATAAGGAGTCTGTGTCAATGACTGCAGCGTATCTTTTGTGTGTGTGTGTGTGTGTGTGTGTGTGTGTGTGTGTGCGTATTTTACGAGTTTTTCTAAAGGCTTTTTAAAGAATAAGATCCATTCTCTTTATGCTGGCTCTTATGCTCCAAATTCGGTTTTTGCAACACTATTTCTTCCTATCACACGGTACTCACCAGAATGAATGTTGTTCCTATCAACTGAGTAGTCTTATCTTATCTTTGCATATATTGTCTCCAAAAGGAGAAATTTTATCCCCTAATGAAATCCAACTTGGCTTCATTTTATCCTGTAGCCTTTTCTGAACATTTAAGTTCACTCTATATCTATTATTTAAAATTTACTTTTGGCCGGGCGCGGTGGCTCACGCCTGTAATCCCAGCACTTTGGGAGGCCGAGGCGGGCGGATCACGAGGTCAGGAGATCGAGACCATCCTGGCTAACACGGTGAAACCCCGTCTCTACTAAAAAAAAAATACAAAAAGTTAGCCGGGCGTGGTAGCGGGCGCCTGTAGTCCCAGCTACTCGGGAGGCTGAGGCAGGAGAATGGCGTGAACCCGGGAGGCGGAGCTTGCAGTGAGCCGAGATCGCGCCACTGCACTCCAGCCTGGGCGACAGAGCGAGACTCCGTCTCAAAAAAATAAAATAAAATAAAATAAAATTTACTTTTATCTACATTTGTGTTAAAAATGAATCATTATTTTACATATTAAAAATTAACTATTGGCTGGGCGTGATGGCTCACGCATGTAATCTAAGCACCACATTGGGAGGCCGAAGTGGGAGAATCATTTAAGGTCAAGAGTTTGAGACGAGTCTGGCCAACATGGTGAAACCCCATCTCTACCAAAAATACAAAAAATTAGTCAGGCATGGTGGTGGGTGCCTGTAATCCCAGCTATTCGGGAGGCTGAGGCAGGAGAATCACTTGAAGTGGGGAGGCAGAGGTTGCAGTGAGCCAAGATCGCTCCACTACACTCCAGCCTGGATGATAAGAGCGAGACTCTGTCTCAAAATAAATAAATAAATAAATAAATAAGAAATTAACTATTATAAGCATATAGTTGATATGATTATATCAATAACAAAAATATAGTGGTGCTAAATCATTTCTAGATATACTATTTTTATTATTGTTACATAAGAAATTCCTTGATTGAAGACTTAACTCTGCATTCCTTATGTTTACAAATCCTCTCAATGTGCCTACAATTATAGACTGAGGAAAAACCAAGTGAAAAATCTTTTAACTAAGTTTTCAAGAAAATTCAAAAAAGAAAACATTTTATGGCCATGAACATTCTCATTGGGTTCTATGTAGGAAAATGATTTAGAAAGTCAGTAAACAAGTAACTATAAACTATTTTGTAATTGCTGTTTGTCATTTTTGGGAAATGTCAACAGCTTAACTTTCCTTTAAGATGGTGTATTAAAAAGAATTATCACTGCATGCAGGTATTCTAGTTTTCTCCTTCGTTATCAATCAATATTTGAAAGAAGTTGAATACTGTTAAGATAATTTCCCAAAATAATTTTAAGACTTTGTTATCTGCATGTCTCTTGCATCACTTTTGTATGGTAAAATGAAATGATGCAATAAAAAAATACAGGGATTTCATTGTGTTGTCCAGCACTAAAATCAGCGCTCAGTTAATATTCTTCTTTTAAATAGTCAGAATTTTTTTTCAACATGATGGTTCCTTAATTTAAAATAATTTTAATAGCTTTTGATTAACATTCTTTTTATGGATAATTTTCTTTATTTGATAATCATTGTTCATAGACACACTTTATACTTATGCAAATTTTTGTGAGTTGTTATCTTGCAGACATAGATAATACTAACATCTTTATGTCTGTTAATTTTCTTTTAAATGTAAGATGGAGAGTTAGGCAAGAAGGTCAGTTGCATCTGTTTTGTCACTTGGCTCTGCACAGAATTACCAAGAGATACATAAAGCTTCCACTTAAGCCTTAGAATCGTAAGAATAAGAGTTATGACATACTGTGCACCAGCTTAAAAGCATCTAAAACTCCAGAGTGTGGAGCCTAACTGATTTTGTTCAGTACATTAATCAAAGCACCTTTGACAACTAGAATTACGTTGTTATTTATGTGAGGCACTCAAAACTGTTCTTGATACCCCAGTGGTATTTATTTCACTATTCTGGAGTAGTGACAGAGGGGGAAAATAAAGAAAACATCTCAGTTAAAATATCAAAACAGTAAATAAAAATGGTAAAATATTCATAATCAAACATACATGAACTACTTGACTTTTAGAACCAAACATTAATGCTGCATATTATCTATAATATGTTGCAGAAATAAGCTACAAAATATTTTATATTTGCTGTTTTCTTCCTAAGTAGTAAAATTATGTTTATATTATCTTTATTTTTATAGTTTGTAATATTATATGTTTTTAAATGTAGTCTCCCTCCCAATAAATGAACAGCAAACTAAAACTAAAATTTTAATCAATATCAAATATGGCTATATTTGTGTATTATTATTAAAAGTAATTAAAAGTTGAAAAAAATTCTGGGCTCGAAAAGAACACAGTTGTAGAAATAAGTATTTGACCATAGAAAATATAGAGAACTGAATAATAGCTGTTGGATTTAACTTTAGTATTTTTGTGTTTGCAAATTTAACAGGAAAGTTGCAAATTTAACAGATATGTTCTATTATTAAGCGTATTAAACCTGTACTATGTTACCAACAAAGTCTTAATTGGGACACCACATTATGATCCCTTGCTTCAACTACACTAATTCTAAATAACAGTGAACTGAATCCTGAAATCCAGAAATCTAGAGATCTGCCTTTATTTTTCTTTGATTTATACTTACTTATTGTTACTGTAGAAAATCTACATATTTCAAGATTTTCAGGACAGAAGAAGGCTGTTTTGAGGGAAAATATGTAATCAAATCCAGGAATGTTACTATGAGGGAAAATGGAAAGATGCATGTGCAACTAGATATTTGTTTAGGGAACCATCTAATTATCCTAAACAGCATTGATACAATTGCTTAGCTTATCAAAGTCAAATACAATCTCAAGTCCAGAACTAGGGCTATAACCACTTCTGTTTGTGGATAAGAATATGTACAACAATCATAGGTGGCACAATCACATTAATTAAAGCTTTAACTAAATGTAATAGAGAAAAACAAACAAAACTTATAATCTCAGTATGCTTATATGACTTGCACATTGCCATTTATCCCATATATATTAGCAAAATATGTTACTATAGAGGGACAATATGTCTCTGGCACAGCTCCAAATCATCCTTTTTTTTTTTTTTTTGAGATAAGATCTCAGTCTGTCATCTGGGCTGAAGTGTAGGGGCATGAATATGGCTCACTGCAGCCTCTACCTTTACCTTAAGTGATCTTCCTGCCTCAGCATCCCAAGTAGCTAGAACTACCAGTGTGTGCCACCATGTTTGGCTAGTTTATTTATATATTTATTTTTTGTAGAGACAGGGTCTTGCCATATTGTCCAGGCTGGTCTTGAACCTTTGGGCTCAGGCAATTCTCCTGTCTTGGCCTCACAAAATGTCAGGATTACAGGTGTGAGCCACCATGCCCAGCCTAAATTATACTTTTGAATAAAAAAATTTAATGCATGAACTATCTTCCATTCTAAAATTTCTAGTTCTAATTATTTATGTCATCTCATTGTTGCTTATTCTGGATAATTAGCATAATATTTAAATTTTAATACTGGAAAACAAATTCTCTACTTTTCCATAAATTAATCAATCCTTACCTTCAAAAGATGTATTAAATCAATTACTTATGACTTACTTTCCAAGATTTTTCAATTCATTTACGGAACATTTAAATTTTATTTTAAATTTACTAATTTTATCCAGGGAAAAAGGCACATTCATGTCTAAGATGGTCTCTGTGAGACAGTGAGGACTGGACTCACCCCAAGTTAGTACAAATACCTAATTTTTTATAAAATGTTAATATTTAATGTTACAAAGTTGGATTTTGTGAAACAGTGAACATTCTAAAGTTGTTGTTTTAAACAGACATAACTTTTCTCTTGTGAAGGCTAATTATATTTTACTAAATTTTAATTATTTTGTTACAAAATAGTTTTTGTTTATTTTAACTACATTACCTAGGAATGCTGTAAACAGCTCTCTATTTCTTTCTCTCAGAGAAACTTAAAAAAATCAGTAACTACCCTCTTAGTTAATGTCAAAATATTGAACCTTTTCCCCGTAAGACTGTGAACAAGGTGAATATCCTCATATATTCTACTTACAATCAGCATAGAACTTGAGATACTAGCCATTGTAATACAGCCAAAAAAATGAAATAGAATAAAGCTCAGAAATGAAAACATGTCTTTAATTCGATGGCATGATGATTAATGTAATAAATCATAAAAATTCTACAAGGCAACTCATAGATTAAGATAAGTTATCATGGTCTCAGAATACAATGTTAGTATACAACACCTGACAATACATTTCAATTCCAGTGATGAACAATTGTCAATGAGTTTTAAAATTCTATTTACAATAGCATCCAAAACATAAAATGCTTACAGATAAACTTTCTAAAAATATGGTGCACATTATTTCACATATTATTTTTAGAATATGTGTATGATATCTACACTAAGTGCTTCAATGCATTATCAAAAGAAACTTTTAAATACTTACATAAATAAAGTAATATCATGTGTATTAAAAGACTCAATATTGTTAATATGGTAATCCTCACCACATCTGTCTATTGATTTTAATTTAAATGCAGGTTTAATTTCAGAATTACAGTAGATTTTCTGTTAAAATGGGAAAGCTGATAGAAACGGGTATACACATATGTAGTTATCTTATTTTCAACCAAATTATCAAAACAGTTCAATGTAGATACACATTTAATTTGGAATAAACAGGAGAAAAAAATGAAACAACCCTTACCACACCTCAAATTAAAAACTAATTTCAGATTGTGTATTCGTCCATTTTCACGCTGCTATATAGAACTGCCAGAGACTGGGTAATTTATAAAGGGAAAAGGTTAATTGACTCACAGTTCAGCATGGCTGGGGCAGCCTCAGGAAACTTACAGTCATTGCAGAAGGCTAAGGGGATGCAAGGCACATTCTTCACAAGGTGCCAGGAAAGAGAAATGCTGAGCAAAGAAGGAAGAGTCCCTTACAAAACCGTCAGATCTCATGAGATTCACTCATGATCACAAGAACAGTATAGGTGAAACTGCCCCCCCATGATTTACTTACCTCCACGTGGTCACTCCCTTGATACGTGGAGATTACGAGGATTATGAGAATTACAATTCAAGATAAGATTTGGACAGCAACACAAAGCCTAACCATATCAGATGGGTAGTAGACTTAAACCTAAAAAAGGAAAACAATAATATCCTTAGGGTGGACAGCATAGGAAAACATTCATGACTGAAGTCTGGGAAGACAATTTTTTAACACAAGAACAGAAACAAATAACCATTACATGATAAATTAGACTTTAATAAAATCGAAATCGGCTCAATAAAAGACAATGTTAATTTATGTATACTTTTTCTTTTATTCTTATGATTTTTGTGTTTTCTCCAAGAAACTTTTGCCTGACCCATGATCACATAGGTGCCTAATATCAAGTTGAGAGAAATCTTACACTACAAATTTGCTGAGAGTTTGCACCATGAATAAATTCCAAATATTGTCAAAAGGTATTTCTGTCAGCTAAAATGATCTTATGTTTCTTATTTTATGTTACTTTGCAGAATTATACCGCTAGGTTTTAAAATGTTAATTAACTTTTCAGTATTCAGAGAAACCTACATGGCTATAATGTTTTAACTTTAAAAAATGTTGATGGATTTATTTGCCTGTATTTTAGCTATGGGTGTGTGCTTTTGTTCATGACAAATCTAGGTCTATAATTTATTTCCTTATTTCCTTATAATGTCTTAGTAAGGTTTTGACATTAGAATTATGCTGACACAATACAACAGTGGAGAAAGTTTCTTCTTTTTCTGTGTTCTGAATGTGGTTCTTCAGGTTTGATGTGTTGTCTCTTACATATTTAAGACTACAGAATGTTTCTTACTGTGATCAGATCCCACTTTATGAAGGGACTTTATCTTTGGAACTTTTCTTTTACTGGGAAATTATCCCTCAGTAATTCTAATGTAGCAACATCCCAAATGGGCATTGGGGAATATGTTCCTGGGATCAGCAGAGTTTTTGTGTCCTATTCTCTACCATGAAAGGTAAGGGTAAGATTAATTTTTATACCCAAATAGTCATATAGTTTTTTAGTACTGTCATTTGACTTTATTTACTTTGAGTGGAAAGGGTGGTCAGGTAAGAAATTTTGTTGTTGGTGGTGTTGGTATTTTTTGTTTTGTTTTGATTTGAGTTTGTGATTTTCAAATCTTTTGATATAAGTTTCTTGTTACCAATAATCATAGTCATAGGTCTTTTCAAGCTACTTTACCTGTTTTTTTTTGTTTCTTTTTGTTTTGTTTTTGTTTTAACCTTGTGCTTGTTGCCTAATGGGAAATAGTGGCAATATGACACTATTTGAGAAGGATTATCTATAGATCAACAAGGTTGTTTATTCAAAATTAGCTTCAGTAAATAACTTGGAACAGAGATCTCATATTCAAAATTAAATGTTAAGAAAAAGAAATTGCACTCAACATCACTTACTCTGCAAATCTGTTGAATCGCCATTGACTTAAACTATTAATCATAGCAAAATGCATTTTCAACTATTTATAGTTTTATATTTCTTAAGGGCTTATACTTAATGGGTATTGAAATCCCTCATATATTTTTAAGTAGGAATAACTAATTTGACTTTTTTCTTATTTAAAACTTTCTTGAAAACTAAGTGGAGAATTTCATTAGAAAGTACCTAACCTTATTGGATAAATGTTAATGATGTATTTTTTACATTAATTGTGTTATAATACCTTTGGAACAAAGAAAAAGAGTGAACAAATTAGAAGAAAGCAGGATTAATTTTAAAAGTCTAAGTTTATATGCTCCTTTAAGGTAAATGCATGCAGGAGAAATTTAAAAATTGGGTGATATATATTAGGCTAGCAGTTTCCAGTTTACCATTAGATAATAAAAGTAAGATCTGCTTTTGGCAAGGGACTGATTAGTTGCAGAAAGATGGAAAATCCATTCTTCTCTAAGAATCTTCTCTGCCAAGATGTATCTATTAAGGCTGGCCGCTTCAACCAGATCTTTATAGTACACTCTAGTGGAACTGTGGATCACAGTCATATTTAAGTAAGTTCACTTTAAATCACATAAAATGATAAAATAATGCTCAACTGGGCTGATGGAAAACAAAATCAGTCTATGTTTATCAGAAAATAGGAATTTCACTATAAATAATAAAGGCAATCATTGATTATAATATGAACACCAAGTGGGCATACATGTTTATATAAAAATATATATTTAATATACATGTGTATTATGATATTCAGTAGTAATCTAAAACAAAATATGAAAATGCTCTATTTTTCCTCATTTTACTTTTATTAAAAATGCAAAGGAATTGGAGTAACTAGAAATAAATCAGATGACAGAATTTAAGTTTAGAATAAAACAACAGATCATCTACTTTACCCTTCAAAAAGATAAAAAGGACATGTCTGCAGCCATTAACATACAACAAAATATCCATTCATTGGCAAAAAATAAATTTCGATCGCTTTTATTAAATTCCAACATTTTCTATTTATTATTTATTCCATTAAAAGCACTTGGAAAGTCAGAACAAAATCTAAAAACAATTTTGTAAAGGGATAAAAGTGTTTGTGAATGCCTGAATCCAACACACTCTTGTGCCTATGATCTATTGAGAAACATGTCAGGCAGTGAAATTTCTTTCAGTCTTTTAAAACCTCCACAGTGTTATTGTTAATAATATATGATCTATATAAAGGTGATGACAAGTGATGAAAGGAAAGGAACAGCTACTTAGAAAGAAATGCCGATTTCCTCTTGATGATGTGTTCTACTTGCTTCTGATGTCAAGACAGTAAAGCCCATTAATGAGAACTTTAATTTTGTGTTACTTTAAGATATAACAGGGTAGCTAGGTCTCCCTAACCTATCCTTCCACCCCTGATTATTTTGTCAATTTGATTTCCTTTGAGTCAGTGCTATTCTACAATCTTCCTGTTTAGCATTTGCTTTTATGGATTAGGCCTTTCACTCTCATCTTTCACACTTATAAAAAAGTAGATGTTTTCTAAAAGTGGTATTCACATGATTGAATTTTTATAATAGTAGAAAACATTATAGATGTCACCCAATGCCTTGTTGTTAGACGTTTGCACTCTGACATTGATGAAATATTTTCAAAGAAAAAAACAGTCTGAAGTCAAAGATTACCATAGTCATTACAGGCATTATACAAAAGTTGTGTATCAAAATGTAAACTATGCGAGTGCTACTAGATGCTAATGAGTAATATCTACAAAGGTTAAATATAAATGCACATAATTATAGCTTTCTTGTGACAAGAAATTATTACTTTCTTTCTTACCCACAAGACATAGCTTTAAAATAACAAACTGAAATGAAAGTATATTTATTCTGCAATCATAAGAGAACTAGCAAATGTAAAAATATAGCACAGCATTTGAGACAGTTTGAATATGTATTGCTACTGCCTGTAGAGAAGATTAAAAATTTCTAACCAATGAAGTTGTATATAATACCACATTTGAATTTTGAAATTTAAACTGGTAAGAAAATATATATTTTCATTTATGTCAAATTTATTACATGATCAGAGTGAAAATCTTAGAAAACGTCAACTAGTTCCAAGTTAAAATCTATAATGAAGTATTGTGAAGCAAGACTACCAGAGTAAAAGATTGTTTCATAAGAATAAATTAATCATGAATTAATTTTCCTGCATAAGAAACATAAATTATAAATCACTGTAAGATGTCCTGTGTTGAGTTTGGAAATGTAAGTTGCATTATTGAGTTGATTAATAGGCAGTTGCTCTATAATGTAGTTGTAGATTTCAGTTTAGATTAGATATAATCAGCATGATTATGAAAATGAGGGATACAAATAAATGTTAAGTGAAAAAATATAAATTGGATTTTATAATTATAATTAATAAAATCTGTGTATACATATGCATAGACACCAGGCTTGGAGAGAAACATTTAAAAGAAAACAACAATTTAAAATTTATAATAAGAAATTTATTTCTTTTGGGTTATTACTACAATAATTTTGATGAAGTAAATTTATTTTGGTAAATAAACTTCAGTAATCTTTTGAAGGTACTAAGAGGCCAATAATTTATAACATATAATACTCATAGAAATTAAAGTATAAGGATAATTTGAGGGACAATCTTGGATAATTAAGTTATACTAATTATTTCATACTTGCTGACTGGAAATAGGACAATTACAGTTCAAGAGTTTTTTTATGCATGACAGTTTAATTTGTTAGGGATTGCATATTTTTTCAGGTAAATATAATGTACTCAGAAGGCAAATTGTCCCTAAAGTCTCTCCTCTTACTTTTTAAGTTGTAAAATTTGCACCTTTGTCTTTCTTTTCTAAAACAAAGTAAATATACATTATTATCTAAAATCAAAAACAAATATAAATTAATGTAAGTTCTTAGCATGGCTTACAAGGACTTCTAAGATCCAGACCCTTGGAAACTCTCTGATCTCTTTGCCATTCATTATTTTTATATTTATTTATTATCTATATACTTATTTACTTGTTTTTTTGTTTGTTTGGTTTTTTGTTTGTTTGTTTGTTTTTTGATGGGGTCTCTCTCTGTCAGCCAGAATGGAGTGTAGTGGCGTGATCTTGGCTCACAACAACTTCTGCTTCCCACATTCAAGCGATCCTCCCACCTTATACTCCTGAGTAGCTGGAACCACAGGTGCGCACCTCCACGTCCATCTAATTTTTGTATTTTTGGTAGATATGGGGTTTTGCCATGTTGCCCAAGCTAGTTTTGAAGTCCTGAGCTCAACTGATCCTCCCGCCTCAGCCTCCCAAATTGTTGTAACTACAGGATAGAGCAACTGTGTCTGGAAATTTATTATTTTTCACTGGGATACAGCCACAATTTTTGTCCTCCTGTTCTTTGAGCACTCCATGTTTGATCTTGCCTCAGGGGACGTGCACTTGCCCTTGACGTTGCCTTGAGTGCTCCCCCAACCCTCCATATGCCCATCTGCCAGTCTCTTTCACTTTATTCAGGTCACTATGTTTATGACAAACCCTCAGAAATAATATTGCTAATTATTCTGTAAAAATAGTGGTATTTGCATTCATAGTTCCCTAGCATATTTTCAACCTTTATAAAAGACCATAGAGTCACCTTATTTTTATATGTGTGAATGTGTATGTTTGTGTGTATATGTGTGTGTGTGTGTGTTTCCTATCTACATCCTAAGGAATATCCACAGGGACATTTTCTGTCTTGTTTGCTGCTGTAGCCTAGAAGAGCATCTGATGGATATGCAGTGTTGAATACATATTTATTTGAATGAATTGATGAGTCAGTTAAGAAAGGCTTAATAGTCCAGGGATCAGCAAAAGTGATCCCATCATTCTTTTATTCTCCCAATCGCTATTGTGAAGAGCTATAAGGAAGAACCAATAAACAGTATTTAAGTTATGTACTGCATCCTTTGGCATTGATGTTACAGTATTTCACGAAAGGCCCAAGGTAAATAGACGTTTTACATTTTTAATTCTGGGAAGAATAGAGAATAGTTATATGACCATAAGTTTAAATGATACTAAGTGTCAGCTATCATTGGTGCGGCCCACCTGTGAGCCAATCATAAAACTGATTACAAATGTACATGTATGCTTAAATCTAGTTATAAATATGCGTGTGTGTGTGTGCATGGAATTTTAACAATGCTTTGTAAATACTTATTCATAACATTAAATATGACATTTCCATAGACATGATAACTTATTCTTAGTTTTACATAAAAAATATGCTCACTCAATCTCTTATTCTTAGACATTTGGGATGTTTTTCTCACCTTTTCTCTTTCATAATTCACTACTATTGAACTACTTTTTTCCAGGAATTCTAATTGGAACAGACAAAAACCCAATACATGTTTAAGCAGTAAAGTATTCATCAGGTCACAAAAAGAGGAGCAAGAGGAGCTGACTCTTTATGTCATATCTTGGCCTTGTAATTTGATTCTTTGCCAACATGCATGGTTTTTCTCCATAGGCTGTGCATTGGGGTAGGTTCGAGAGCCACAAACTAATTCAATTCTTTGTCAATCCAACTTAAAAAAAAAAAGAAAAAGGGTGAACATATTGCAGTTTCAGAATATATAAATATTAGGAAAAGCAATGCTTGATCCAGTTTAGACTAAGTTTCTATTTCATGAACAAGTCATTGTTGTCTAGAAGAAAGCCAGTAGCCACCCTTGTAAATAGAGCTTGTGCAGATGTGTCTGATATCAAATGGAAAGTTTCAATAATGTGGTATAAGAGTAGCAGACAATGAAGTAAAGGGATGCAATGTGCAGAAAACCTCATTCTAAATCACCTTACACCAAATTTTTATGAATCATTATTTATTTTCATAGGATATATTGTTAATATTATAGTATTAAAATACTAATCAAATAGATTTATTTCTATAACATGTAGTATGCATCATTGTGGATTTGATACTTAATATGTTTACTTAACACTATAGACAAACTACAATAAAGCCATGCCCTGACTGGATGTGCCTAACATTTGTCTGGTGCTTAAAGGAGTTGGCTGCATGCGTGGGTAAGTTATATAATTATTATATGATTTTTGTAAGTGAATATTAATATATATTTAAATCATAAAGCACAACGCTGTAAGGAAGAATTAGTAAGAATTTGAAAGATAGGATATGATGGAAAACACATTTTATTTCAAAGCCACAAGTTAGTATGTTATCCTGCTTATATAAGGAACAGTTTTGGTAGTATTCATATGATAAAATTTGGCATATAATTTGAATTTTAATACTTTTTAAAATTTTTAAGATGCTTAAATTCAAATCAAATATCTAATTTTTTACATACTACAAATATCTACAAACCTTTATTACTAGGTGGTTAATGTTTGCTGAGATATACAAAAAAAGGCTTATACTTTTAAAGAGCATATATTCTACTTGAGAAGACAGAAAAAACAGAAAACCCACAAGCAATGAATAAAATAAATAAATGCATATGTGCAATGTGGGATGCCAGAGGGATCTGCTCCACAAAATTCATCAGAAACCCACCCTAACTGAGGTTCCACTAACTTGGGACTGTACCAACTGGAGCACAAAGTCTTTTCGGGCATCACAACAGAGGAACATAGAGCCAAGGGGTTGTGTAGGACCTTGTAATGCCTAAGAACTTCACTCCTGTTTACATTGCATTGGCTATGTTCATAGCACAAATTAGATGAATGGATGTTTGAAAATATAGGGAGACAGTTAAAATATTGATGAGAACTGCTGTTTCTGTCATTCTGTCAAATAAAGAAAAAGATGTTTATTTTATAATGCAATGGTCGTATAAATGGAGCAAAAAATAATGAATAACTCTACCACATATGTGCTCAGTTCTTTCTATGAGGACATTATTAGTATGAAGCCAAAACTAGACAAATACATCACAGGGAAAAAATAGACTGCTGTAAATAAAAGTAAAAATACACCTATCTGAATTTGGGAGACACACTAAGTAAATGCTTAAAGAAATAAGTTTTAGCACTCTATGCATATATTGGAAAATTTGAAGTCTCAAATCAATACTCTAAAGTCCTACTTCAGGAACCTAGCAAAAGGAAAGCGAAATAAACCTAAAGCAAGAAGAAGGAAAAAAAATAAGGATAAGATCAGATATCAGTGAAGTTATAATGAAAAAATAGAAAAGCCTTTTCTTCAGGAAATATACATTTTGTATAAAAGAGGTTAAATTTAATGTTTATCAAACATGTTTATGGGAAAATAATTCTCATTTTTAGTAGAGAAAATGATGAATCACTTGCAGTTATTAAATCATAAATCACATGATATAATGATTTCCAAACACATTTATGTTAAGTATTCTACAAAGTATTAATTATATTACATTATAAAACCTAGAATGGAGAAGGAAAACAAATTTTTAGTTTCCTAAATGCTCAAAATAGTTAACAATAATAAATTAATTCATTTTATTATCTAACAATAAGTATTCTGATATAATAGCAATAAAAAATTTAAATGCTAATGAATATCCATAAGACTTGCATTGCTGCCAACAATATTACTTAGAAAACATTTATACTTTACTATCAGTTGGAAAGTCTGTAAAAATGTCTTGAACTTGGCCTGTTTTCTGATTCAGGATGGAGAAGGATTCAACATTTAATGGCAGTTAGAATCAAATTTTTAACTCAAGAAGGCAGAAGGAATCCACCTAAATGTAAATGTTTTCCTAATAATAAACTTCAAATACTAATTTAAATTAAAAATATTATGTCAGAAATGAATGATTAATTCAATATTAATTCCTGTGCTCCCTTGCATTACTTGATGTTTCAGAAATGTTGGAAAGTCACCAAAAATAGTTCTCCAAGTCAGAAGCGGTGCAAAAGCTGCCTCAGCTCTTGGTGGATTTTCAATTTCTCCCAGCCATCTCTGTTTCGCTAAAGGTTTCTGAAGACAGTGGGTATGTGGCAAACTTCTGCAATTCTATATTAAGATAAACTGTTAGATCAATTATGTGTGTCATATTATCTTCCTTCTGCAGAGTTTGAGAATTATATTTCTTACCTGTTTGCTTCAGGGACAACTTGTTTGGAAAAAAAATCACCCAGGGTTAAACATCATATTCTTTAGAACCCAAAAAGCATTGATCCATTTATATCCAGCTTCAAATACCATGCTAGTATTCCCAACTTAAGGGCCACCATATTGATGCATGCTAATGTGCCAACAGTTTCATCCACTATTTTATTTTATTTATTTATTTATTTATTTGAGATGGAGTTTTGCTCTGGTCACCCAGGCTGGAGTTCAATGGCATGATCTTGGCTCACTGTCACCTCTGCCTGCTGTGTTCAAGTGATTCTCCAGCCTCAGCCCTCCCGAGTAGCTGGAATTATGGGCGCCCACCACCATGCCTGGCTAATTTTTGTATTTTTAGTAGAGACAGGGTTTCGCCATGTTGGCCAGACTGATCTCCAACTCCTGACCTCAGATGATTCGCTCACCTCGGCCTCCCAAAGTGCTAGAATTACAGGCATGAGCCACAGTGCCTGGCCTCACCCACTAATTTTTAGACACCATTAGTGTAAGTGTCATCAAAATAAAAAAGACAAATAATCTATTAATATTATGTTACTGTAGTTTTGTCCTCACAGACCCTCAGGTAGCTTCTGGGGACCATCATGGTCCCACAGACCATTCTTTGAGAATTGCTATCACAGAGAAAATAAACCTTTGACACATCATAACTGCACTCTAAATATAGGATTTGTATATGCTGAAGAATTTCAATAAAGATCTGGAACAGCAGCTGCAATTAAGAGTTGCCATTATATCAAACTTTTTATAATAATTTATCTTCCATCCCCAAGATACACCTATAGTCAAATTATAAAATCTATTCAGGGAGGTGTTATAACTCATTATGACACTGAAGCATTTTTCAAAACTGTAATGGTTTTGCAGCCCTCAGGATCATGGGCTTGCTTTCTTCTGGTAGGAAAGAAGTTCCAATGATCCTGGCTTGCTAAATTTGCCATCATATTTTTAACCCTGTGGATCTGGGAGCCACCATAGATAATTTGTTTAGATCTAGACCATATTGAGTCTATTGAAAGGTGCATATTGGTTAAAATTAGTGACTATCCATAAGCTTCCATTCTGAGTAATAAACCAAAATTGTTTTATGGGTTGTCAAAAATTACTTTCTGTCAGTTTTTACTGTCCAGTCATTTAAATATTGGGTATTTACTTTTCTACTATGATTACCTTATTTAATATCCACTGGCCACTGTCAGGGAGACTTGGAGAAAATATTCACTGAATGTAACTGTGGTGTTATTTCAACAACTCTTCTTCATTCAAGTTGTTCAGCATGGGGAGATTTATGACAGAGCTCTTAAAAGTTAGTGACTTTATAATAGTGACTGTATTCATTGGAACTAGAATTTTTCATTTATAGAAATTAAGATGGACATTTGTCAGCTGCTCATCTTTTCAGGTCTTGGACATCTTATGATAAATTAGTTGATTCAAAACATATTTTGATGTTAGACTTTTCCGGTAGCCATGCTAGATTTGCTGCCTATTCTGCTAATTATTCCTACTTTGCCTCGATATTGCTAACTCTAATACTTGAGTGTATGTGTTATGAGATCTTGCCCTTACCAAAACAAAAACAAACAAAAAAAAAACTAGTGACCATTTCAACTATTACATCTCACTCAAGCAACCCTAGTCTTCAGAAAACATACATTAAATACTTTTCAAAGATGTAGGTTGACTCAAAGTCAGTATTTTTCTCAAGCCTTGATGAAGGATATAGCTTCTAGAATAATTTGAGATAACATATTTGCAGAGTTAGGAGGTAAGATTTCATACTTATCTATACATTATTTCAGGAATATATATAATCTAAAAATCACTTAGTTTGCATCACTTTAGTGCCCATCTGGGGAAATTATAGGAACAGTGTCAGCTGTATAAACTACTACATTCAATTCAATAAATATCAGTGTACCCATATATTTATCTTCATAGCTGCAACTAAAACTATATTTTTGTGTATTTGGCTTTTTCTAAGAATTGATTTCTACCATGTATTATCCAAATTTTGGCTGATATTAATTAAAAGTATTTAATTATGTGTCATATATCTTAGGTTTGACTTTGTAAATGAACACAGCGCATGCTGAAATATAACTTTAATTATATTTCTAGGGGAAAAAAAGACAAAGTCAAAGAATAGGAAACGTGTGCCATAAGGATAATTTGCTTTTATTCTTTCTGGACGGTATTTTTCTCATTTTAGAAAATTAGAACATCTTTTAGCAAGAGAATAAATCAGGTTTAGAAGACAAGTGAGACTCACAGGGGACTGTGGTTTGGAATAGTCAATGTCCTTACAATTCTCTCATATAAAATTTTTTGAATTCTCAGGGTCTGAAAGTTTCTTAAGAAATTCCTTATCTTGTGCTTAGTGAAACTCTAAAGTCTACTGAGATTATAAATTGGCATTCTGAAAGATCAGACCTTGCATTTGCTTTTGGCTACCACAGCCCTGCAGCTCAAAAGAAAAGCTTTTAGCATGTTCACAGGAAGTCCAGCTTCTCAGTTTCTGCTTTGAACTAGACAATTTATAGATTCAGTCTTGTGATTCTCTTTTTTCAGACTGCCTATCAAAATTTGATGTGAACACTTCAATTCACAATCCTTGCATTACATAACATTTATGGCAATGCTGGATGAGTCCTTGAAAGCCTTGCTTTCAATGTGATTTCATTTAAGATGACAACAGCCAATTATTTAATTAGCTATTTTGACATGGAATGACTTGGGTTGCCCGGGTCTCATTCCTGATTATTTTCTGTATTTTCCCTTAGTACTTTCATCACATTCAGTTCCTAAAAGACCAGGTAATGTTTGTTAGTATATTTTTTTATCTATAATTCCCTACTGGTACCAATTTCTATATGAGTCCAGTTTATTGGTTACACATAAAAGAAACTATGTATTCCTAACTTAAACACGGAAGACTTCAACAGAGAGATATTTTTGTAGCTTATGAGAGTAAATAGAGATGTCAAAGAACTGAGCTTGGAACATTATCTGGAACCAAAGAAAGCAAGGAAGTCAGAACATGTAATCTACTTAGAACGCTGTTTCTGGCAGTGAGATTTCTTTATTAAGAGTGTTTAAAATCTGTCTTGCCAAAAAGACAAAAATAACATAAGCATAAATCAGAACTAAAGTTCTCCAAAAGAACTTAGTTAACAGTAAAATGTTAGTGTCTGTGTGTTCCAAATATCTGGTGTCTGGGAGTCAATTTTTAAATACTTAACAATTATTCTTGTCCTTAAATATTCCAATAAAATAATGCAAAGTCTTATCCTCTATAATGGAGGTAGCTCCTTGACAAAACTAATTTTTTACACATTCCTGAAACTTACCTTCTTTTAGACAACTTGGCTGTTAATAAGTAAAATATATAATTTAATTATTTGAAAATAATCAGAAATTATTTCTTATGCACAGGGAAAATTACTAAATATACTATCACTAATCATTTACTAAAAATATACAATATTAATGTCTATGGCCTTTTGCATAATGTGCAAGATCTTGGTAACACACCTGTTAACAATCCATTGCCATATTTTCCTCAAAAGTTTCAAGATATAGATCTAGCTTTTATAAGTTATTACTGAATTAAATGTATTTAATGATAAATTTCAGTGACAAAAAATCAGGAGATTTCTATTTTGTGTACCTATAAATAGCATGTCCATGTAAAAAATTACAAATCAGAATTGGAAATAAAGAGATGCAACAAAAACTTGTAAGTATCATCAACACAAATGTGCCAAAGCTCTTACCCACAGCCCCTCTATAATTTTTTTCCCAATTAAGGATTATCTGGTTATTGTTTCATCATGTTAATCAACATCTATGTAACATAAAATATTATCTAAAGCTTAATAGGTATAATGTATATATACTGATTGTTTCTTAATGTTTGCCAGCACTGTTGTAAATTGCTAATATTTCCGTTATAATTTTGTTTCAATTTGATAATTTCAATTTGATAATTTTTTGTGGTACTTAGCTTATTTTCGTAAGTATTTTATTTATTTTTAGATTGTATTTGACAAGCTAGACTGAATAATAAATTATTTCTTATCTTATTCATTTTCTGAAATTGTTTGTTTCACATAGGGCTTTTTAAAGGATTAACCCCCAAAAGCAGTCGTGCTAGACATTTATATGAGCAACAATTACCATCTTACTCATTTTCTTCCAAAATTAACATATTTAAACTTCCTGATTATTTTTGAAGTTTGATACCACTTTAATCCTATTGTCATTCTAAACATTAAAATATTTGTATCTTCAGTCCCAGCAGTATAACTTGATAATACTTTCAAAGTTGGAACTTTCTTATTTCAAATCTTACCTCTATGAAAAATGTTGCTCTTCTATTTCAAACATTTCTTAAGTTTTATATACAAATTCTAAATCAGACATATGTTATTATTCTACACTATTTAACAATTAACTTTAAGTTCAAAAAACTGTCGTATTCAATAAAAATAAAATAACTTGACTTTCAAATCATAGGCTAAGTGTGTAAATGAGCATAATTATTAATTTTTTGTACAGTTTGTGTTAGGAAAAATGGCTTGACCTATTTTGAAACCCTTAACAGAGATCTTTAAGGGAGATAATTTATATTGTAAATAATGAACTTGTAATATATTTGTAAAGCTTTATTACAAAAGATGACCTTTAACAGTTATAGTTATTTTTATAAAGTTGGGAGCACTTTTTCAGTGATTGCTGCTGCTTTTTCACGATAACCCTCCTGTGGATAATCATTCAATTGCTGCTCCCCATCTCAGAGCACAGGCGGGCAGCTTCATTTTAAACCATTGTATAGAAACTAGCAACAAATAACAGTTTAATGTGAAATTCACTGAAACAAATGTATGTGACAGGATTTGTGACTTACCGGGTTTTAAAAGTTTGAAATAGGGCTAAAATAACAAACGAACAAATAACAACAACAATAACAACAAAAATATTTTAAAGGCTGAATGTGGCATGAAGATAATAGCATACTAACCCTCACCTACTTAGTAATATATTTGAAGACAGAGATTTTTGTCTTTCGCCTTCATCTCTGCATCTGTCTGAGGTTTAAATGTAGCAGATAAAGCTATAAAGTACTTTCTGGCTGCTTCAAACTGCTCTTTCTTCCAAGCTAGGCTAGAGGATATAATAGTTTACCAACATATTTGGGTCCTAGAATCCCGAAATAGAAGCTTTGATTATTAATTTTAGATGCTTCTTCCTAATATATGCATTTAATAATTTTCATTTCAGTACTGCTTTCATAGCATCCAACTAATTTTAATACATTTGATTTTGTTCTTCATTTATATGTGTATGTGTGTATGTATTTCTCTTAAGACTTCTTTTTAACCCTTGAATTATTTAGAAATGTGTTTATTTCTTAATGTTGGGGACTTTTCCAACTACCTCTTCTTGGTTCCTTTCTAATAAACTTCTGTTTTAAAAAATACATTATATTATTTTTATTCTTTTAAATTTCTTAAGATGTGTTCAATATCTCAGTTGTTATACCTTTGTAATTGTTCAATGTGAGCTTGAAAAAAATGTATATTCTGCTGCTTTGGATTGAATGTCTATAAATGTCAATTATATCATGTTGACTTAAAGTGCTATTTGTGTCTTCTGTATAATTATAAATGTTCTGCCCTTTTTTATATCAATTATTGACAAAAGGTAGGGAAGTCACCAACTATCACAGGGATTTCTATATTTTTCCATTAAACTCTATCGGGATTTTTTTAAACATATATATTTTGAAGTACTGTTTTAAAAGCAGAGATGCCTTGAATCATTATGCTTTCTTGGACAACTGACCCCGTTAACATCATGCTCTTTATTCTTGATTAACTTCATTTGAACTCTGTTCCGAAATTTATATAGCTATTCTAGCTTTCTTTGATTACTGTTAGCATGGTATATTTTTTATTGTTCTTCTACTTTTAATCTGTCTGAGTATTTACATTTAAAATGAGCTTTTAAATAAAGAACAGAATTATTTTCACTTATGCACTCTGATAATCCTTATCTTTTATTTGGATGCTTACACAACTATATCTAAAGTGATTATTAAGAATTTCAATTTCAACACCAACATGTAAAGAGCTTCTGAAGTTGTTACTTCACTTAATTATTTTAAAGCTGAGCAAATAGAAAATTATTTACATTTTTTGAACCCATCACATAAGTAAGGTTGCAGAGCAATCTACCATCCTAGTATTTGGAGAGAGAGAAATTCTTTAGTCCTAGCCAAGATCTGCATATCTGAAATAGATCTCGCTAATCCAAGAACTGGTAGAAACCTTTAAATGACATTTTAAAGAATTACTGGAGGCTGAGTGTGAACTAATGTGAGAGTGAGAAACTTGCCCCCTTAGGATGCCCACAACTCTTTAGTGAATGTTATCATGAGAAACTCCACTAAGTGAAGAATCAGGAAAGATATCCTCACTGTACTGGAAGAAAAAGAGAAACATCAACCATTGTGAAATATGCTCATTGTGTTCTTCCTAAGAAAGGCCTACTTTCTAAGGAAAAAGATTTTAACAAAGTCTGATCTGACATGAAGGAGAAACATTGCTCTGACTGCAGCCCCTTTTAACCTTTCTGTTTTACATAAAAGGGTAAAATGAGCTAAGAAACACTGTAGAGGACTGTGCCTCAAATAATAGGCCATTAAATGATGGATCTAGTCATAAGATTATAGAATGCTTCCCTTTAGTCATCCCTTTACCATTAATTATGATGCCTCCAATACAATAACAGTGGATTACAGAGAAAAGAGCTTCAGGAAAAATACTCTCCCTTAAGGGAAGTACTTAGTGAATCCCAAAGACAACAAGATAGACAAATACATATAGTTGAAATTGCTGGCATCTATGGCTACAGAAAACAGGTCAACTCCTAGCCACAGTAACATCGATCCTTACAAAAAAGCTTATTTTCTCAGTTCTTGTTACCTGATACAAAATGAACAGCTTTCAACAGTAAAATTACTAGTCATTCTAAAAGCCAAGTACAGTCTGAAGATGCATAGGACGCATCAGAACCAATCGCTTCCTTACACCTTATACAGAAATCAATTCAAGATGGATTAAAGACTTAAACGTTAGACCTAAAACCATAAAAACCCTAGAAGAAAACCTAGGCATTACCATTCAGGACATAGGCATGGGCCAGGACTTCATGTCTAAAACACCAAAAGCAATGGCAACAAAAGACAAAATTGACAAATGGGATCTAATTAAACTAAAGAGCTTCTGCACAGCAAAAGAAACTACCATCAGAGTGAACAGGCAACCTACAAAATGGGAGAAAATTTTCACAACCTACTCATCTGACAAAGGGCTAATATCCAGAATCTACAATGAACTCAAACAAATTTACAAGAAAAAAACAAACAACCCCATCAAAAAGTGGGTGAAGGACATGAACAGACACTTCTCAAAAGAAGACATTTATGCAGACAAAAAACACATGAAAAAATGCTCACCATCACTGGCCATCAGAGAAATGCAAATCAAAACCACAATGAGATACCATCTCACACCAGTTAGAATGGCAGTCATTAAAAAGTCAGGAAACAACAGGTGCTGGAGAGGGTGTGGAGAAATAGGAACACTTTTACACTGTTGGTGGGACTGTAAACTAGTTCAACCATTGTGGAAGTCAGTGTGGCGATTCCTCAGGGATCTAGAACTAGAAATACCATTTGACCCAGCCATCCCATTACTGGGTATATACCCAAAGGACTATAAATCATGCTGCTATAAAGACACATGCACACATATGTTTATTGCGGCATTATCACAATAGCAAAGACTGGGAACCAACCCAAATGTCCAACAATGATAGATTGGATTAAGAAAATATGGCACATATACACCATGGAATACTATGCAGCCATAAAAAATGATGAGTTCATGTCCTTTGTAGGGACATGGATGAAATTGGAAATCATCATTCTCAGTAAACTATCGCAAGAACAAAAAATCAAACACCGCATATTCTCACTCATAGGTGGGAATTGAACAATGAGATCACATGGACACAGGAAGGGGAATATCACACTCTGGGGACTGTTGTGGGGTGGGGGGGAGTGGGGGAGGGATAGCATTGGGAGATATACCTAATGCTAGATGACGAGTTAGTGGGTGCAGCGCACCAGCATGGCACATGTATACATATGTAACTAACCTGCACAATGTGCACATGTACCCTAAAACTTAAAGTATAATAATAAAAATAAATAAATAAATAAATAAAAAAGAAAATATCTACAAATTAAAATGGAAAAAAAAAAGAACCAGATTCACATATGACATTGACTTTGAATTTATGAGACAAGTAATTAAAAATAACTACAGCTAATATATTAAGGGCTCTAATGAAAAATGTTAACAACATGTAAGAACAGATGTGTAGTATGAGAAGGGAGATGGACGTGTTCAGAAAAAAAGTCAAAGGAAATGCTAGAAATTACAAAAAAAATACAGAAATCAAGAATGTCTTTGATGAGCTCCTCCGTAGACTGAAAAAATTATGAAAATAATCATGAGCTTGAATATAGAAGAAAAGAGGTTTAAAACTTAAATACAAAGAGAAAAAAAGAACAAACCAACAGAGTTCCTATTAGCTTATTGTTCCAGAAGTTTTTGCTGCAAATAAACAGATATCAATTGCCACATCTTTTTGCATATACCTATCTCTCTACATTTCAAGGCTAGCAATTTGCCCTGTGATCTCATTTTTTCTGACATGTTCAAGACATTGATTTTTTTCTAATTTTTTGATATAATACAGGAGTCATAACTTTCAAACTGTGTCTGTTAGTGCTGAACATGAAAGTAGATATTTATATTTTCAACCATAGTTTCTGTTATTCTTTAAAAGTCTATTTAAACCTGACACAATAAAATGAAGGAAAACGCTTTCTACATACTTCCACTTTATGAAAATTGTATATGTCCAGGCCATTGAAATTTTCAAATCCAAAACAAATATATGTTTCTATGTTTATCCTAGGAAGTGGCTACTAAGTTTTTGTGGTTTTTTTCATAAATTATTAATCCATACAACATTTATAAACTTTTAAAATATTTCTTACAGTTTATAAAATGTTATTTAAAAATAAAACATAAAATCACATACAGTTAACAGATACATCTGAGATAGAATTTAGCTGCTTAAGTATTTTTAAGCATCTTAATCATTTATTCTTTTGTGGAGGAAAGAAATCCAAATTTGGAAGGTGACTTCTGGAGTAGCTGTTCAAGTTTGTTTCGTTGTGCATATGCTTTCCATTTAAACAACCAAAACTCGTAAAAAGTAGAAAAACAAAGAAAACATGTAAAGTCTCTGAAAATTGTCCTGAAGCGATACAAGGTAAAAAGAAACTAGAAAATTTAAATCTCCATAAGAACAGCAGTAGTCCATAATACTTGAGATATGACCAGCTTCCTTTATTACCTCCCTAAGTCAGCATGGCCAAAGCTTTACACTGGGTGTATAAAAGCAAGGAGATAGTGTTCCTTTTCCCCAACTTTCCTGTCAAGGGCTACAGTATCTCACCAGAGGGGCAGACCACCAGCATTTCTCATCTACCCCAGCTCTGTGTTGCAGAAGTTCTCTCCCAAGAATGAATAATCATTATTTCTGGGACTCTCTTTCTCAGACAGAGAGAAAAGGTCTCCCATGGCTGGGACCTCAGCCATGTCATGTAAACACAGCACTATAAAGCTTTTCCTAAGGAAAATGATTTTATTTGGAACAGATAAAACTTGGGTAAGTTCACTCTGAGTTAAGTTAAAGAGATCAGGATACTCTAAAACAATTCAAGTTTGGTGGTAAGCAATTGCCACCAGAGAAATGCAAATCAAAAACCACAACAAGATACCAACTCACACCTACTAGAATTGAAAATCAAATAATACCAAGTGTTGAGGGGGATGCAGAGAAATCAAAACCCTCATATACTTCCAGCAGATATGTAAAATTTTGCAACTGCTTTGGAAAACAATTGTCAGTTCCCCAAAGTTTATACATGGAGTTATCATACAACCCAACAATTTCCACTCTAGTATATACACAAGAAAATTGAAAACAAAAATCCACACAAAAACGTGTGCACAAAATGTTTATAGCAGCATTATTCATATAAGCCCAAAATGTCATCAAACTGAATATTCATCAATTGATGAATAAATAAAATGTGATATATTTATATAATAAAATATGATTTGACTCTATAAAAAATTAAGCACTGATACATGCTACATATATGTATAAATTTTAAAAACATTATTTTATGTGAAATAATTTAGTCACAAAAGACTACATATTACAAGAGTCTATCATCTATCTGTCTATCTATCTATGTATCTATCTATCTATAAAGAATAGGCAAATCAGTAGAAGCATAAAGCAGATTAATTATTTCCTAGGACTGATGATGCTGAGGGAAATGGAAGGAGATTGACTGCTAATGGCAATGGTTTTTTTTTTTTTTTTTTGGGAGGCATAGTGAAAATATTTTAAAGTTAATTGAGGTAAAAGTATTGTACAAATCTGAACATATTAAAAACCATTAAACTGTAAATTTTAAATGAGTGACTTGTATGGTAGATGATTATACATCAATAAAGTTATTATTTAAAAACTAAGGTCTTATTCTAAAATTATTTTATAAATAATTACTTTCTATCATTTTTTTCTCTTACTATTAGAAACTACTTTCAATATCTTAAAACCACATTATAAATAGGGAAGATATAACTTCTTTGTTACAGTTTTACAGATGATGAATTAAGCTCAGATAATTTAAATTTTCCAAGCTCTCATGGGAGCATCTGTAGGATATAAATTTAGGACACTGCACATTATTACAGAAGTTGACCACGGAAATCATGGGGTATGTGAACAAATACCTAAAAGATGGGCATGATGGCTATAGGAGGATTTCACTCAAATTAAATAAGTTCAACTTTAACTGCTTGCTGTGGAAGATAGAGCCATTAAATTTTGAAGGTAAAATTAGAGACATAAATAATGATAAATAATACTGATAACCGTTATTAACACATTATTGGTTGAAATATAATTTTGTAATTCTTTTTGAAGTATAATTTGATGGTTCCTCTTTAAATTAAGAGTTTAGAATTAAGCAGTATGCTCGTAGAAATGTATTCTCCATAATATTTTATCTCTAAGACATTAGCTTGTTTTTCACCTTGACTACCACCCCAACATATACGTCCCTGTCATTTTCAACCAACCTTCTCAAAAGTCAAATTACTTCTCTTTTGCTCCTAAACATGTCCGTCTTTAATCATTTTTAACCGTATAGTCAGAAAGATTGTAAAAATATGTAAAGCAAGTGATGTGATCACTTAAAATTTTCAAAGTTCTTTTGAATTCACTTACAGAATGCTAACTCCTTACCATTTCCTACAAGGCAGTACATGACTTGGCTCCTGATCTACACTTTCATTATCCACACTAAACTTCTAAACACAGTAACTTCTTTACTTTTATTTAAAAATTGGTCATCCTTTTTAGTATACTACCTTAACACGGTTCCCTCTGTTTAGAATACTACTCCTCTAGTATGTAGCGTAACTAGCTTATTCTCTAGTTTATTGATATTTTGAGCTGTTGATTTTGTTGACATTTTATTAGTTTACTGTTTTTAATTTCATTAGATTTTGCTCTGAGTTTTATTCCTATTCTTCTCCTAACTTTGTGCTTAATTTGCTTTTATTTTTCTAGATTCCAAAGATAACTGCATCCCACAAATTTTAAGTTATACATTTAATTTCATTTAGTTCAAAATATTTTAACATTTCTCTTGAGACTTATTTTGATCCATGTGTTGCTTAGAAGTATTTTGTTTAATTTCTAAGTATTTGGAATTTTTTAAGCTATCTCTCTGTTATTGATGTTTGTTTATTTTCATTATGTCTGAGATAATATTTTGTGTGATTTCTGTTCTTTTAAATTTGTTATGTTGCATTTTATGGTCCCAAATGTGATCCGTCTTGGTGAATATTCCATGTGAGATTGAGAAGAATGTGTGTTCTGACACTGTTGTATAAAGTATTGTATATATGTCAATTAGAGATATTTGATTGATGGTGCCATTCAGTTCAACCATGTCCTTATTGATTTTCTAACTGCTGGAACTGTCCATTACTGACAGAATGCTGTTGAAGACACCACCTTGATAAAACAAAAACATCAGCCAAATTAAATTTAAAGGAGTTTAATTGAGCAAAGAATTATTCATGAATCAAGCAGTCTTCCAAGCCAGAGTAGGCTCAAATACTCCAGCACAGCCACGTGGTGGAAGATTTATGGACAAAAGAAGAAAAGTAACATATAGAAAATGGAAATGAGGTACAGAAACAGGTAGATTGGTTACAGTTTGATGTTTTCCTTATTTGAACAGGTTTCAAACAGTTGGCTACATTTGATTGGCCAAAAGTTGGTGATTGGCACAAGTGAAAGTGGCATGTGATTTGGGAGGGGCCAGGGGCAGAATGACAACTTAGGCTTTGTGTCCCCACCCAAATCTCATCTTGAGTTATAATCTCCACATCTCAAGGGAGGAAGGTGATTGGATCAAAGAGGTGGTTTTCCCCATAATGTTCTTGTGATAGTCAGTGAGATCTCATGACAGCTGATGGTTTTATAAAGGTCTCTTCCCCCTTCACTCTTCTCTCTCCTGCCACCATGTGAAGAAACTCCTTGCTTCCCCTTTGACTTCCACCATGATTGTAAGTTTCCTGAGGCATCCCTAGCCATGTGGAACTGTGAGTCAATTAAACCTTTTGCATTTATCAATTACTCAGTCTTGGGCAGTTCTTTATAGCAGTGTGAAAATGGAATAATACACTAAATTTAAGAGTTGAGTCAGAAACTGCTCTTTCATCAAATAGACTCTTTCCTGAGAACAAATACTACGTCAATCTTATTTAACTCTATACCTCTAACTTCTGATACATGGCATGCCACAATATGCACTTTATAAATACTTCTGTAATACATAAACCCTTCAAAGAACATTCCAAGTGTTTTACTGAAAGCATTAATAGAAGTCACCACCGAACAACACCATTGGAAACATAATATGGTATGTCTCATATTGCAGAGCCATGATTGTTCAGCAGCCTCTAGTTATCTCTTCAATGCTGAAAAGAATTGTCCTTGTCATTGAAAGAATAACAAAAATATCAGTATTTTCACTAAACTTCATTGAAAGAAACTTCATGAGATTAGAGGCCCAAAAAGGTGGTATGACAGCATTAGTAATTTACAGAAATCTTGAATTAGTCATTTTTCACATTTTAGTAGAAAATTTGCCACTGACTAATAAAAAAATGGTTACAATACACTACAATAAATCCTTCCTTCCTTCCTTCCTTTTCCTTCCTTCCTTCCTTCCTTCCTTCCTTCCTTCCTACTTTTTGTAACACTTTGAGAAATCTAAGCCCCGTTATTCATTATGATTGATTTCCTACTAACTGTTCTGTGTGCTTACCTCAGGCAAGATTCATGACAAAAAATTATTCACATAAGTTGAAACCAAAAAATACTTGCCACATTTCAAGTTTTATGTACAACAGAGTAAAACATGATTTAATTAGAAACAAAAAGTTTGTTTCCTAAGACTGCAGTCAAGTAAAGTTTTGAATTTAGGGGACCAGATGGTTGTCTAAAATAGCACATATTTTAGAATCTTTTGTAGCAGCAAAGTAGACTTAAATCAACTTGTTGAGAGGTACACTTTATTCAGGTCAATCAACAGTTGCTACATCCAAGCTGATTGAAATTCAGTGAAATAAAAAATGTAACTCCTATATTCCAGACTTTTACTGAGATAAAACATACAAATTACTTCCCATTTCCTTGTTTATGGATTGGATAATGTAATAGAAATTTACTCAATAGTTTACAAAAATAGAAATATAAATACAAATAGATGAAGCAAATATGAACTGGAAGAGATAATCAACAGCTAGATCAAATTGAAATAAAATCTTGATGATAGTCAGGATCCTTACATATTACACAAATATATTCTTACTATTAACATGTATATTCAGGATTGGAAATGTGATTTATATATAGAATTGGAGATAATCACATTCAATTAGAAGGAACTGAGAATTTAACTTCAAGGTCATTCAGAAAATATACTAAAATTATTAAACTGTTTATCATTGAAATCCACTAAAACTTAAATATTAGCAATTGCCTTGATTTCCCTGATCACGCATTTACTTGTATGGCATTGGCAATATGACTAAATGATTGCTGAGAACCTTTTTCATTTTAATATTACTTAACTCTATCATTTACCTCACCAGAGGAAAAGAATAAACTTCATTTATTTTTATTCATTTATTTGGCAAATAAATATCAAGCAGTTACATGCAAAACAAACTTTTTGAGATGAGTGTGCTGAGGGAATAAATGCATCAAGTTCTTTTTCTCATGGTACTTACATTTGATTGTGGATGGAAAGGCAGAAAATAAAGAAAGGTGTAAGTATTAATGTGTTTTTAAAAAGTAATGCAATGTACTAGAGAGCATTGGAGAATGGTTCTATTTTTATACGGGGCAAAAGAAAGTGTGTTCAAGAGCAAAAGTGAGTTGAAGTGGAGAAAACACATGTTTAAAGTTGTCTTGTGGGTGTGCATTTGAAATAATTGGCTCTTCTATGACTGGCAATAGTTATTATTTTAAATTTTTAACTGTGAACTTTGAGAATATGTTATTAGAACATGTTTCTTTATTCATTGGTACATATTAGGACAATTTGCAAAATTAGGACAAGTTAAGACAGCAAGTAATAAAAGGCAAAACTGAGCATGCTTTCTTAAAAACAAAATTCTTAACTTTGTTTTGAAGCTTTGAAGAATCTTTTTTTAATGCTGATGTCATGCAGATATTTGAGACGGAATTTTGAAAATGCAAGGGAAATAAGATTAATCAACAACATTAACTTTTTAACACATGAGAAATAATATCTGTTATAGTTGGAGTAAAATGTGGATGAATGTACAGATAAATTTATCCATTTTTATTTTATTTTCTGATTGTGAAGTAAGAGGAACTAATGCTGGAACTAATGAAAGAGGTAGTGAGATTAGGACGGTAAATCATCTGGACATATTAGTCCCATGGATAATATTAAAGATAACTAGAACAGTCTGGAAATAATTAAACAAGGCCAATTAATATTTATGTTGGAGAACCTGAATTTAAAGCAACATCAATCAAAAATTTATTTGTCCTCATTTCTTCCGTTTCAATCGCTCTGATAAGAAAGAACTGTGCTCCATATATCTGGAAAGCAAGAATGAAATAATTTACAGATATACTATTGAAATTTCAGTTAAGTAATATATTTAATTTTATTATGTTTTATATAATACAAACCATACATGTGGCATATATGTGTGTATGTTAAGCTGTATGTATAAGAAAAGTACCACAACAGTTTTTAAAATATACATGTCAGAGAAAAATGCTTATGTTTCAAGTGTGTTAGCTGATAGACTGAAAAATATTTCTAATACAAAGCAATTATATTTACTCTATCAAGTACAGGTTAGGAGCATAACTGATCAATAAGAAATTCCAGAATTTTTTTATATATAATCATATTATAATAATTTATTTCTAATAATACAGTTGTTTTTATTGTATGTTTTTCTCATGCTTTGGTGGTACATTTTTTACTACCTTTAGCCACTTTTCTATTGAATGTGAAAAGGAAGTGACATTTGTATATCTTCCTGTGTAAAAGATAAAAGAAAAGATATAAACATGCTACTTTTAATTTTTTAGTGTATGTTACTAGGTTTTCTTTAGATTTGTGTCAGTTTTATAAAAATAATATTTTTAAAATGTCTGAATCCTTATAAGTTCATGCATATAACTTGCTACATAGATAGTTGGGAGTTTTGTGTTCTGAAATAACCTAAAAATAAAGAGATTACATATCGGTATCCTAGGTATCATTCTGTCTCAGAATCTTAAATGCTTTTTGGCAAGCTAACTACATTTTTGCCATTTATTTTTATTATATTTAAAATTGAACTACAAATAACTTTAATAGCAGTATGGGAATATTATAATATGTTTAATAATTCTTTAGTAATAAATTCATTGACAAACATCAGATTTTTTTAAACAAGGAATTTTTAGTAATTTTAAAACTGCATTCCTTAGAAGAGTAGTATGTATTTTTGTGTCTTGTTTAACGAGGTAAAATATACCAAATAATATCATAGGCCTCATTTTTTTTTCTAATTTCATGGAAGTAGCATAGAGATGTGTAGTTTTATCTCAATATTCATTTTTCTTCCTTTCACTTAGTAAGGTAAGAACAAATTATGCTGTGTTTAGTGCTACCTAGCTAGCAAAAACAGCCCCTCTTGCAGGAAAGACTTAATGTGTAATTTAGCGCTACTCAATGAGATATGAGGGAAAAATGATATGTAAAATTTTTCAATTACATCCTTCAGGGGAAGCTTTTTTCTCCTCCCCATCCTGATCACTAGTATGAGAAGGGGTGCTAATGGACCAGCCTTGGCCTTGCAGATGAAGATGATGAAGGAAGAAGGTAAAAGGAAACTGTGTACCTGTGTGACCTCTGGTAGTTCAGGTGCCCTATCCTGCGGGCCACCTGTTAGCTTAAACTTTTGTATAATTGAGAAAATGAGGGTTTTCTCTTAATTAAGGCACTGTTGTTTGTTGTTTACTAAGGCAACCAAATAAATCACCTAGCTAATAAAGAATGTGTACTTTCAAAATATTCAAATATGAGATCTGCAGATGTTGAAACACTGTAATTAATATATTCCCATTATTGAAGAATACAGTTTGTTAAAAATAAGTGTTTCTTCACTGAGATCGATTATATAATAGAATAGTAATGCCTCCCTTTACATAACTTGATATTCAGATGCTTTGAAGCTGTTTTTTTCTTTAATACCTACAGACATGTTCTCGTAAATATAATCTACCATTTTCTTCTTGGTAATGTAGCAGATATATAAAGATTATTTCTAAAACAGCCTTCCTGCTTCCCAGTCCAAACCCAGGTCATTCTCTTCAGTCACCCTCTACCATATGGCTGTGTTTACCATCAGGTACAGTAGCCACAAATTAAATTCAAAGTCTCAGGAAAGCTAGCATTTCAAATCTTTTATCCTGGACTCAATTCTCTCTTTCTGAGGTCTCTCACCATTCCTCTCTACTTCCCAGTTTAAGGAAGCTATTTTTACTATACCCACATGCTAACAAACACAACTACTTATTCTCTTCTCCCTCTTCTCCCAGACAGGAACAAAAAAAACACTGAAGCATTCTGTGGGTTCCTAATACATATACCCAGTTTGAGTCCGATCCTAAAAGAATAAAATTGACCATTTCAAAAGGAGGCAGTAGCTAAAATCAGATCTCAGATTGAACTATCAGATTGGTGAGCTAAAAGAAAACCAGACCTTACAGATTATTAATCAATAACTTAATCTGTTTTGCCTACATATAAGACATGGAAATATCATATAATTGTCAACTTTGACTCCTAATTAAAAAAAAAAGAGCAAAAAACTAAATAGGCTTGTTATAGTGTGTTTTATTGTGTTATATTATTTTGTCTGAGGGAAATTCCGGAAAAAATCTCCTGGGTCAGAATTTCCCAAATTTTGTTCTGAGTTCTGAGACTCCAGTAAGTGAGAGGTGAGGTGCTAAGAACAGATGGTGCAGCAATAACTCACCTTCAGTCATAATTAGCTGTATTAACTAACATTCACATTTACAGCATCAATAAATGAGTGTCATCTTCTTTATAATTATACTTTACTTGAAGAAATATTTAATGAGCTTTTACTGAATAACAAACCATTGTAGGACATTTCAAATATATTGAAATTATAAATTAATTGGTTTAGCTATGATGTATTTCTTTATAATTTGGTAATCAGCCAGGAAAAAATAAAGTTAATTAAATTTTTAGTCATTGTTTACATTTTGTTGTCCTCTTTGAGTTATTTAAACAGAACATGCCAAACACTTCTCTCATAGTACATAAAACACTATCTTGCAAGAGTTTCTTTCCCCTCCCAGCTGAAGCTCCAAGATAGTCAGGCCCAAATAAAAGTGACTTTCGAATTCATAGTCCTTCACACTGTGTTTGCCATACATTAGATGCTCGATCATTTTTTATGGAGTGACTAAATGAATTAGAGTCATTCATTGTACATAATTCTACAGTTAATATTAGAAGTTATCTCCAGACATGCACATTTCAGAATTGAACTTCTGTCTGAATTAGAGCTTTGCAAAAATTTAGGGAGAGAAAAATATCCACATAAGGTGTAACATACAATGGGGAAGTTCTGATAAAAAGAAAAAAAATAACCCATTGGCACAGAGAACGTGAAATTTTCTTCAGAAGAAAGTCTAAAGGAGAGCTCTTAAAAGAGATATGACAATTATCTTTCAGGACAAAATCTTCCAGGACAAAATCTTCCAGGAAGATGTTCTGACTAGTATCCAAAAATGAAGGAGCAAACCTAGAAATTCAAGGAACCTAGTAAGATTAAATGTTATTGACTGATACTGAAGCAATTACGTTTCTCAACTAAAGTCTTTTGCTGCAAGAAGTCAGTTTTCTATTCCAATAAATGGAATAGCAGACTCTATGCCACAGAGAATTAGGAGAAACATCTCTGAAGCACAATGCATTACTCAACTAATACATCAGCAGATACATTTAAATCTGATCACCCACAATACACTTTATATATGTCCAATAATTTTATGGTACTTCAGAAATGTATCCAATAAATCAGCCCAAAAACCACAACAAATTATTTTTCCCTTTGCTGTTGTTCTTGTGTGTTTGTTTTATTTCCCCACTTGTCTTTGATTCATCACTTGTTATTCACAGGTGCATTTTTGTACTTTTTGAGTTTGAAAAATATGTGAGACTCTTGCATTGTTCTTGTAAGTTAAATCATCAACATGATCATTATATAAAATATAATAGTTTTTGTAAACTAGTTTTTTGGAAAACTAATTGTGGTGGCTGTTTTTACTATAAAATTTTACTCCACTAAGAGTATGTCAGTATTCGTACAACTAAATAACTAGAAGGTTTTAGCAGAATATAAATGGGTATTATGTATTATGTCACTGAACTTCTCAAATAAGTAGAGGTCATTAGCATGCTTTGTGTAGCTCTAGCCAACCAACGATTTCACTTTAAAATATTTAACTTTCTAATAATGACCTTGTGACTAAGCAGATCATATTACTTCTAAAACTGATAAACACAAATATCCCTTATGAACTGATATTCTTACATTTGATTATACTGCTTTCTGCTGTCACAAAATTATATATGAACAATGACTATTATAATCTTTATTTTGCTATATATGTTACAGAATACTAAAAATAAGCATGATGCAGACTTTTTCATAGACAGAATTAGAATTGTGTAACAAACATCAATTTTTCAAATAGAGCTTGAGGCAATTTCTGAATTTAGACTTACTTAATTTCTCACAGCATCATGTACCCAATTTTGTTAAAATGAAATAGCAATGCCTTTATCATAGGGCTGTTTTGAAAATTACACACAAAACATTAAATTTTTAGCTTGTCACTCCTGGGTCTTCCATGAATGATGATGACACTTTACTCCTTCTTGACATTATTTCTAGTGAAATAAAGTGAGCTTACATAAATCTGTATTTAAGAATAAAGTTAGTGTTTTTATTCATGTTATCCAAGAAGAAAGAAACAGCATTCACCAAATATTTAATGAGACCTCTAATACAATATTCTCTTTACTGGGAATATAATAGGGAATAAGGAGAGCAAGGTGCACCTTCTAAATAGGCAATGGTGAATTCAGGTAAATATGATTGTGTAATGGTGAAACACAAAGAGGATTTTGACAGAGAGCATTCCCCAAAACGGGGCACATTTTACTTTGGAAAGGATTTCAGGTAGGACGTAAAAGAAGATATAATTATTTCAGCTAAAACTAAATTATGAGAGGCAGCTTGTCATGTAAATATGTAGAAGAAAATAATTTTAGACAAAGGAATGTGCAATTGGAAATCTCCCAACATAAAAATGAACTTACTATTTTTTATAATCAGAAAGTAGGTTCATGTGTCTTGATTGCAATAAAGTATATTGTCAACAAGTTGGTGGGGGCCATATCACACAGTGCTCTGTAGTAAATGCTGTGGAGTTGGAGTTTAGTCTAAGAGAATGAGAGCGCTACTAGGTGGTATTTGCTTATTTTTTCAAAGGAGATTGTTGCTATTGTGGATAAAATGCATTTTGATGGGGCAAGTGAAACAAAAAAAATCGGTAGTTTCATTCATAGATCCTGATAATCAAATCAATTTCAAAAGATAAACTCATTGACATGAATAGACAATTAAAAAATGAGGTACTTTTGTGGTTCATAAGTGTGATATATGAGTTTTCATGCTCATGTATGAGATGTGCCTCCCTCAAAGCTTAGGACTTCAGCACATTGCCTAATACGAAAAAAACAAAGAAACAAAACCAAAATATATAAATGTAAAAAACAACTTTTATAAACAGGTCGATAGCAAATACATAATATGCAGACTTTAAAGACATTTTAAAAATCAATGGATTCTTCAGTGAGCAAAATAAGTAATTTATAGGAGAATAAACATAAAATTTATAGATGGACTTCTCTTCATCCTTATAGAGATATAGAAAGAATAACTGGGATATTTTTGGACATGTGATTATAGGAAGACATCCCTGAGGAGAAGATAATTCAACTGAGAACTGAACAATTATAAAAAGCCATGAACAAAGTGCTTTCCACAATATTTCACAGATACAGCTAGCTAGATGCCCAGGAAGAGTCAGAAAACAATATGAAGATAGGCAAAAATTTCAGAATTTCACTGTGGTCTGAATTATGGAGCCCCAAAAAAGAAATTTAAATTCTTGTCTGGACACCATGAAATTGATGTCATTTATCAACTACAGTTGTTATGAAGAGGGCTATTAACATAATTGCTGCTATTTTTGCAATAATGTGATGAACTACCAAAACAAGCTGAAATTCAGCAACATTCATTCTCTTGGACTATAAATATTTGTTTCTGTCTTGCTGTACATTATATACATAATCTATTTAAAAGTTCATTTAAATTTTTTTTAGATTCTCATGTATTTAGTTACCATATATTTAAATAAAAATACATACTTTTATGAAGACGTCCTATTGTAAAATAAATTAACTATAACTGACTTCTGTAAATGTTTTCCTTTCTCTCCAGATGTATAAAGAACCTCTGAAAGAGTCCCAGTTTTACATTTCAAAGTCTTTTTCCTTCTGTTGTTTATTGTGTTGGGTTGGAGTGGAGGATATTTGATGGAGAATTGATTCTGAAACTTGCCAAAATATGGATAATACTTTGCTCCTTTTCCATTGTGGGTTATCACAAAGAAGAGTTTCACTTTTAGTCATCTATTTACAGGTACGGCAATAGCTATTTTCTTTTTCTTTTTTTTATTTTAGGTTTTATTTTAGGTACATGTGAAGGTTTCTTGTATAGGTAAACTAGTGTCATGTGGGATTGTTGCACAGATTATTTTATCAACCAGGTATTAAGGAAGCTCAGTACCCAATAGTTATATTTTCTGCTCCTCTCCCTCATCCCACTCTCCACCCTGAGGTCGACCCCAGTGTCTGTTGTTTCCTTCTTTCTGTTAATGAGTTCTCATCATTTAGCTCCCACTTATAAGTGAGAACATGTGCTATGTGTTTTTCTGTTCCTGTGTTAGTTGGCTAAGGATAATGGCCTCCAGCTCCATTTTTGTTTCCCTCTCCAGCATCTGTTTTTTTTTTTAATTTTTAGTAATATCCATTCTGACTGGTATGAGATGGTATCTCATTGTGGTTCTGACTTGCATTTCTGTAATGGTCAATGATGTTCAGCTTTTCTTTTCATGTGCTTGTTGCCCACATGTATGTTTTGTTTTGAAAAGTGTTTGTTCGTGTCCTTTATCCACTTTTCAATGGGGTTGTTTGCTTTTCTCTCGTAAATTTGTTTAATTTCCTTATAGATGTTATGACCTAGCAGCTGTACCTTTTTTAATTTCAAGACATTCAATAAACTAAGAACCAACAGCACAGTTGATGTGTCTTTCCATGACACCTGCCATCTTTCCTCTCTTCATAGCTATAAGAATATTTTGGAAGAAGAGTTGCTGATAAATGCCACTTAGGGAATCTCTGAGCATCTGTTATTATAAATGGTTGACTAAAATTTAGGGTAAAGCATCCTATTAAAAATGAAGTTAAGGACTTTATGTAGAACTTTAAAATTTGTCCCCCAAATCCTGTTGTATGTCAACATATTATAAAATAAATTGTAAATATCATAACTCAGCAAAAGAACATCATCTAAAACTCATTAAGAATTTAATGTTGAGTATATCAGTGACACAAAATCATGAGGCAAGATGGTTTAAATATGTTACAAATAATAATAAATAATCATACCCTCTGAGTTTAAATTCTTTATCACCCTGTATGTACTGCCACTCAACACTTGACTTCAGGGCCATAATCCTTAGTGAACCCATCTAACATCCACCTAAAATAAAGGTTTGGAGCCACTCTTCTATGCTTAACAAATAGCCTTAAGCATCATGAATAAACAGAGACAGGCTAGCTCCTTTTTGCTCTATAGCCTTAAGTAGTTCTGACCATGACTAGAAAGACATAGCTGCAAGCAGCCTGATCTTTTTTTAACATCTTGACTTTTTGCAAGGTATTTCTAAAATATGTTACTAATATGTACTTCTTGGTTGTTTTACTAATATTTGAAAGAACTAAAGTTATCATTAGTCACGTTTCATTTGAAACTACAGAAGCAATAAAAACAACAAAGTTCCAATATAAAATCCATTATTAAATAGCTTTCAACATAATAGATTATTTACTACAAAATAGCAAAGTCTAGTTATTAATAGTTTCCTACTAGAATGACATTTTTTTCTTTTTGCCACATTTTAGGTTAACTCTATTTGTTTTAATCTCAATTTTATTGTGCATTTCCCTAAGTACTAAAAATACCAGTAGTGTCAGCAGCAATTTGCTACTTAACAAAGCTCCAAGTAACACTGTAGTATGCCACTTGCTAGTAGTGCTATGTTTTATCCAGAGGAGATTAAGAGGAGGTGCCAAAATCCAATTATGAAGTGGTAGAATTTCAGTACTTAATTCCCAAGTGCTACTGTCAACATAAATTCACTATCCGTGTGTTTCCATAACTGTCTGCCAGGCACTGAAACTGTGACATAGCATATCTCATGTGACTATGTGACTTCATGGGCTCGATTAGCTCCAAATGATTGTGCATAAAATTTCCACTCATTATGTAAAGGTGTCAACTTTGGCTGTAAGATTTCCTTGTTTTAAAAATAGCATAATTTTCTCACCTATTGTGTGCATTTCCTACACATAAAAGGTAATCTGTAGTTGCACTTTATCAGTCTGCTGAATAGTGTCAGCAAGATTATATATAACGTATTTTTTGGCTTCTCTCTGTAACACATTTAATATTTTTAAAAATCTTAAGCCAAAACACTGAAGCTAGCTACGAATTCCTATACTCACTCAGAGTTAGCTACATGTTCCATTTCTACAAAAATTATTCTAAATTTTAACATATTTTCCCAATATGAATCTTCTATGATTTCAAGTGATGACATTATCATGTCATCCTAAGTTAAACAGTGACTGCATGGCATTAAACTGGCCAATTTCCCAACCCTATATCTAAAAATGCTCCTAAAATAATATGTATTATTGCCTGTTTCCTGACACGTTATCAGATAAAGAACAATACTTTCTTCCCTTCCACGGCTAACACAACACCCCTTATATACTCACAGTGCTATTTGTTTTGTATTCTCAGGAAAAGTTATCTAATAGTTACTCTCTACCATGAACAGTTTTCTCTCCATTGAATCCTTCTAATTCATCTGTAATTCCGTGGGCAATTTTCCTTTGAAATCAGTATAGTTTTTGGAAATTTTTTGTAGTATTAAACAGCTACACTGTATTTTATTATTTTAATAATAATAATAAAATAGTAACAAAAATTATTGTGACTACCAAGTAATCATCCTCAACCTCTATTCCTTCTCCTGTTTTATTATTACATATTAGATAGTCATATTTCTTCCAAAATTACACTTACTACCAGTGTTTTTTAATTGTAAAAAATTTATTTTTGCTGCACTGCAGTGGGTTCAACCCAGTCTGAACTTCCTGCAGCTTTGTTTACACTGTGAGGGGAAAACCGCCCCAAGCCAAGGAATGGTGGATGCCCCTCCCTCCACCAAGCTCCAGCGTCCCAGGTAGACTTCACACTACTGTGCTAGCAGCAAGAATTTCAAGCCAGTGGATCTTAGCTTGCTGGGCTACATAGGGGTGAGATCCATTGAGCTAGACCACTTGGCTCCCTGACTTCAGCCCCTTTCCAGGGGAGTGAATGATTCTGTCTCACTGGCGCTCCAGGTGCCACTGGAGTATGGATAAAACAACAAACAAACAAACAAACAAATTCCTGCAGCTATATCAGTGTCTGCCAAATGGCTGCCCAGTTTTGTGCTTGAAACCCAGAGCCCTGGTGGTGTAGGCACCCAAGAGAATCTCCTCATCTGCAAGTTGCAAAGATTGTGGGAAAAGAGTAGTATCTGAGACAGAATGCATAATCCTCATGGCACAGTCCGTCAGAGCTTCCCTTGGCTAGGAGAGGGAGTTCCCTGACGCTTTATGCTTCTGGGATGAGATGACACCCTACCCTGCTTCAGTTCGCCTTGCCTGGGCTGCACCCACTGCCTAGCCAGTCACAATAAGATGAGCTGGGTACCTCAGTTGGAAATGCAAAAATCACCCAACCCTTCTGCATTGATCTTACTGGGAGCTGCAGACCAGAGCTCTTCCTATTCGGCCATCTTGCCAGCCAGCTGCTGTAGCCAAACAGCCTCTCTAGATTCCTCCTCTCAGGGTAGGGAATGTCTGAAAGAAAGGCAGCAGCCCCAGTCAGTGGCTTACAGATAAAACTCATCTCCCTGGGACAGAGCACCTGGGGGAAGGGGTGGCTGTGGGTGCAGCTTCAGCAGACTTAAACATTTCTGCCTGCCAGCTCTGAAGTGAGCAGCAGATCTCCCAACACAGCACTCGAGCTCTGCTAATGGAGAGTCTGCCTCCTCAAGTGGGTCACTGACCCGTGTGCCTCCTGATTGGGCGGACAACTCCCAGCAGGAATTGACAGACTTCTCATACAGGAAAGATCCAGCTGGCATCTGGCAGCTTCCCTCCTGGGATGAAGCTTCCAGAGGAAGAGACAGGCAGCAATCATTACTGTTCTGCAGCCTCCACTGGTGATACCCAGACAAACAGGATCTGGAGTGGATCTCTGGCAAACTCCTGCAGACATGCAGCAGAAGGGGCCTGACTGTTAGAAGGAAAACTAACAAATAGAAAGCAATAGCATCAACATCAACAAAAGGATGTCCACACAAAAACCCCACTCAAAAGTCACCAGCATCAAAGACCAAAGGTAGATAAATCCACAAAGATGACCAAAAAAAGCTCAAAAAGGCCTAAAACTCCAAAAACCAGAATGCCTCTTCTCCTCCAAAGGATCACAACTCCTCGCCAGCAAGGGAACAAAACTGGACAGAGAATGAGTTTGACAAATTGACAGAGTAGGCTTCAAAAGGTGGGTAATAACAAACTCCTCCAAGCTAATGAAGCATGTTCTAACCCAACACAAGGAAGCTAAGAATGCTGAAAAATGGTTAGAGGAATTGCCATCTAGAATAACCAGTTTAGAGAGGAACATAAATGATGTGATGGAGCTGAAAAACACAGCACAAGAACTTTGTGAAGCATACACAAGTATCAATAGCCAAATTGATCAAGTGAAAGAAAGGATATCAGAGATTGAAGATCGACTTAATAAAATAAAGCATGAAGACAAGATTAGATTGAAAAGGAATGAACAAAGCCTCTAAGAAATATGGGACTATGCGAAAAGATCAAACCTACATTTAATTGGTGTACCTGAAAGTGAAAGGGAGAATAGAAGCGAGTTGGAAAACACTCTTCAGGATATTATCCAGGAGAACATCCCAGCTTAGCAAGACAGGCCAACATTCAAATTCAGGTAATACAGAGAACACCACAAAGATACTCCTTGATAAGAGCAACCTCAAGACACATAATCATCATATTCACCAAGGTTTAAATGAAAGAAAAAATGTTAAGGGCAGCCGGAGAGAAAGGTCAGGTTACTCACAAAGGAAAGCCCATCAGACTAAAAGTGGATGTTTCTGCAGAAACCCTACAAACCAGAAGTGAGTGAGGGGTCAATATTCAACCTTCTTAAAGAAAAGAACTTTCAACCCAGAATCTCATATCCAGCCAAACTAAGCTTCATAAGTGAAGGAGAAATAAAATTCTTTATAGAAAAGCAAATGCTGAGAGATTTTGTCACCACCAGGCATGCCTTACAAGAGCTCCCGAAGGAAGCACTAAATATGGAAAGGAAAAATCAGTATCATCCACTGCAAAAACATACCAAATTGTAAAGACCATCGACACTATCAAGAAACTGCATCAACTAATGCACAAAATAACTAGCTAGCATCATAAGGACAGGATCAAATTCACACATAATGATATTAACCTTAAATGTAAATGGGTTAAATGCCCCAATTAAAAGACACAGACTAGCAAATTGGATAAAGAGTCAAGACCCATTGGTGTGCTGTATTCAGGAGACCCATGTCATGTGCAAAGACATACATAGGCTCGAAATAAAGGGATGGAGAAATATTTACCAAGCAAATGCAAAGCACACAAAAAAAGCAGGGGTTGCAATCCTAGTCTCTGATAAAACAGACTTTAAACTAACAAAGATAAAAAAAGACAAGGGCATTACATAATGGTAAAGGGATCAATGCAACAAGAAGAGCTAACTATCCTAAATATAAATGCACTCAATACTGTAGCACCCAGATTCATAAAGCAAGTTCTTAAAGGACTGCAAATAGACTTAGACTCCCACACAATAATAATGGAAGACGTTAATACCCCACTGTCAATATTAGATCAATGAGACAGAAAATTAACAAGCATATTCAGGATTTGAACTCAGCTCTGGACAAAATCATAACAAACAGTTTCTCAGACCACAGTACAATCAAATTAGAACTCAGGTTTAAAAAACTCACTCAAAACCACACAACTACATGGAAACTGAACAACCTGCTCCTAAATGACTACTGGTAAATAACAAAATTAAGGCAGAAATAAAGGAGTTTTTTTAAACCAATGAGAACAAAGATACAACATACCAGAATCTCTGGGACACAGCTAAAGCAGTGTGTACAGAAAAATTTATGCCACTAAATACCCACAGGATAAAGAGGGAAAGATCTAAAAGCTTCACCTTAACATCACAATTAAAAGAACTAGAGAAGCAAGAGCAAATTCAAAAGCTAGCAGAAGACAAGAAATAAATAAGATCAGAGCAGAACTGAAAGAGATAGAGACACAAAGCCCCTTCAAAAATCAATGAATCCAGGAGGTGTTTTTTTGAAAACATTAACAAAATAGATAAACTGCTAGCGAGACTAATAAAGAAAATAGAAAAGAATAAAATAGATGAAATATAAAATGATAAAGGGGATGTCACAATTGATTCCACAGAAATACAAACTACCACCAGAGAATACTATAAACACCTCTACACAAATAAACTAGAACATCTAGAACAAATCAATAAATTCCTGGACACAAACACCCTCCAAGACTAAACGAGGAAGAAGTCGAATCCCTGAATAGAACAATAACAAGTTCTGAAATTGAGGCAGTAATTAATAGCCTACAAACCAAAAAAAGCCCAGAACCAAGAGGATTCACACCCAAATTCTACCAGAGGTACAAAAAGGAGCTGACACTATTACTTCTGAAACTATCCCAACAATAGAAAAAGAGGGACTCCTCCCTATCTCATTTTGTAAGGCCAGCATCATCGTGATACTCAAACCTGGCAGAGACACAACAAAAAAAGAAAATTTCAGACCAATATCCCTGATGAACATAGATGCGAAAATCCTCAATAAAATACAGGCAAACCAAATCCAGCAGCACATCCAAAAGCTTATACACCATGATCAAATCGGTTTTATACGTGGGATGCAAGACTGGTTCAGCATATGCAAATCCATAAACATAATTTATCACATAAACAGAACCAATGACAAAACCACATATTATCTCAATAGATGCAGAAAAGGCCTTCAATAAAATTCAACACCCCTTCATGCTAAAATCTCTCAATCAGCTAGGTAGTGATGGAACGTACCTGGAAATAATAAGAGCTATTTATGACAAACCCACAGCCAATATCATACTGATATGGCAAAAGCTGGAAGCATTCCCTTTGAAAACCAAAACAGACAAGGATGTCCTCTCTCACCACTCCTATTAGACATAGTATTGGAAGTTCTGGCCAGGGCAACCAGGCAAGAGAAAAAAATAAAGTGTATTCAAATAAGAAGAGAAGAAGTCAAATTCTCTCTGTTTGCAGATGTCATGATTGTATATTGAGAAAACCCCATCGTCTCAGCCCAAAATCTCCTTAAGATGATAAGCAACTTCAGCAAAGTTTCAGGATACAAAATCAATGTGCAAAAATCACCAGCATTCCTATACACCAATAATAGACAAAACAGAGATCCCAATCATGAATGAACTCCCACTCACAATTGCTACACAGAGAATAATATACCTAGGAATACAACCTACAAGAAATGTGAAGGACCTCTTCAAGGAGAACTACAAACCACTGCTCAAGGAAATAAGCGAGGACACAAACAAATGGAAAAATATTCCATGCTCATGGATAGGAAGAATTAATATCGTGAAAATGACCATACTGCCCAAAGTGATTTATAGATTCAATACTTTCCCCATCAACCTACCATTGACTTTTTTCACAGAATTAGAAAAAACTACTTTTAATTTCATATGGATCCAAAAAAGAGCACATATTGCCAAGACAATCTGAAGCAAAAAGAACAAAGCTGTAGGCATCACCCTACCTGACTTCAAACTATATTACAAGGCTACAGTAACCAAAACAGCATAGTAGTGGTACCAAAACAGATATATAGACCAATGGAGCAAAACAGAAACCTCAGAAATAACACCACACATCTACAACCATCTGATCTTTGACAAACCTGACAAAAACAAGAACTGGGGAAAGGATTCCCTATTTAATAAATGGTGTTGGGAAAAGTGGCTGGCCATATGCAGAAAACTGCAACTGAAACTGGACCACTTCCTTGCACCTTATACAAAAATTAACTCAAGATGGATTAAAGACTTAAACATACAACATAAAACCATAAAAACCCTAGAAGAAAACCTAGGTAATACCATTGAGAACATAGGCATGGGCAAAGACTTCATGACTAAAACACCAAAGCAATGGCAACAAGAGCCAAAATTGACAAATGGGATCTAATTAAACTAAAGAGCTTCTGCACAGCAAAAGAAACTATCTTCAGAGTCAACAGGCAACCTACAGAATGGGAGAAAATTTTTGCAATTTGATGATGCACCCATGGTCAAGGTGCATCAGGGGACTATAGCTGGATTTGAACCTAAGAAAGTGACTGGAGATTAAGAATATCACTTTATGTCTTCCTATTCTGTTTCCCAACATGACTGAGAAATTGGCTTATCTTCTTATTATGAAATTTCATTTACTTCAAACATCTTTTGTGTAAGCAGGGATACAATTCACTAAAGTTACAGGAAAGACTCTGCCTGCTTGTTAAAAATGAAAAATAAAAAAGGTTGCTTATGTGAAATAATTTCTACATGAACGATGAAACTTGCTCTGTTACAAACTACCTAACAGGAATACAATAGAAGAAAGATACAACCTATAACCACCTCTAATTATCTAAAGGTACAGATATTTTCCAAAAAGAGCAGGTTTAAATTACACACATGGCTTAGGATGATTCTCAAAAACCTGTTTTCTTTTAAATTTTATACTGAGAAATGCACCTCATGTAAAGATCGTAGATGCTATAAGATTCTGGTTCCAGGTGCAACAATCCAGGTTGTCTTTCTTCATGTTTAAGTAGTCTTAGACCTCAAATGACACATTAGAAAGTTTTAATGAACAGTTCAGAGAGTTGGAACAAGATGGCAGAATGGAAGTCTTCATGGATTGTCCCCCAACAAAGGACATCAAAATAACCACTATCTACAGAGAAGAAAAAACCTATATAATAACCTATAATCTGGTAAGGACTCATAGTACCCGGTTTTAACTTCATATCACTGAAAGAGGCATTGAAGAGAAAGAAAACACAGTCATGAAATGAGATGTTATTCCTCCCCCACCCCCAGCAGCAGCAAAGTGCTGTGGCGGTCATCTCTGAATGCTGTAAGGGAGAGAACACAGAAATTGTCAGGCCCTAAACTCAGTTCTTTTCTGTTAGATCAGAAAGGAAAAACAGACTGATGGCTGATGCTCACCCACAGAAGGAGCATTTAAACTAGGCCTACCCAGAGTGGAATTTTGGATCACAGCGAGTGGAACTTGAGTTCCACTCAAGTAGCCCTGAGGGCTACAGTGCTCTTTGTCTCTAAGTAAACATGAAAGGCAGATATTTGTCTCTAAGTAAGCACAAAAGGCAGTCTAGACCGTAAGGTCTGCAACTTGTAGGCGAGTCTTGGTGCTGAACTAGGCCAAGAGACAGTGCATTGTGAGGACACATGGCATACTGAGACACCAGCCAGGGCAGCTAAGGAAGGGTTGGCATCCCCACATTTCCTAACCCCAGATTGAACAGCTCATGCCTGCAAAGGAGACCTTTTCCTTCTACTTGAGGAGACGAGAGAGAAGATTGAGAAGGACTTTGTCTTGCACCTTGGATACCAGCTCAACCATGGGAAGATAGGGCACTGGTCAGAGTTTGAAGCCCCTGCCTTGCAGACCTTAGCAGCCAGATGACGTTTTTAGACAAACCATGGGCAAGAGGAGAACTCATTGCTTTAAAGAAAAAAACCTGTTTCTGACAGCATTCATCATTTGCTAACTGAAGATTCTTTGGGCTTTGAATAACCAGCAGCAATATCAAGGTATTATGTTGAGTGCCTTGGGTGAGCTTCTGAGACTTGCTGGCTTCAGGGGAGACTCAGCACATTACCAACTGCAGTAGTAATGAGCAAAACCCCTTCTATTTGAGAAAAGCAGAGGAAAAGTAAAGGGGACTTGGTCTTGAACCTTAGGTACCATCACAGCCACAGGGGTTTACAGCAGGCTCTTGGTGTTCTTAATTCCAGTACTTGACTCTTGGATGGCATACCTTGACTGGTGCTGGGCCAGAGGGAAGCTCACTGCCCTGAAAGATGAGTGCCAGGACAGGCAGCATTCAACAGAAGCTGACTTAAGAGACCTTTGGCCTTAAGGGAGCATCACCTATAGTTTGGCAGTATTCCTTTTGGCCTGGGGTGGCAGTGGCTAAGGGGTAAGGCTCTTCTGCCTTTAGAAAGAAAAGGAAAGACTGGGAAGGATTGCATGTTGTGGTTAGAGTGCCAGCCCTCCAGCAGTACAACAGAACACCGGGTAGACTTCTAAGGTTTTTATCTGTAGTCCTTGACTGATAGGCAGCAACTCTGGACCCCTCTGGGGCCTAGGGGACCTGGCACCCTGACAGGAATAACAAAGATCTGACTTTTCTTTGGCACTGACTAATTATAGAGCCCCAGGGCCTTGAGCAAACATAGGCAGTAGCCAGGTAGTGGTTATAACAGGCCTTGGGTGAGATCAAGTGCTGTGCTGGCTTCAGGTCTGACCCAGTGCACCCAAAGTGGTGGTGGCCACAAGGATGTGTATGCCACTCCACCCCCAGCTTTAGGTGGGTCAGAACAGAGAGAGAAACTCCGTTCATTTAGTAGAAAGTAAGGGAAGAGAACAAGAATCTCTGCCTGGAAATACAGATAATTTTCCCAGAACTTGTCCAAGACCATCAAAGCAGTATCTCTGTAAGTCCGCAAGAACTACATTACTGCCCTTGGCATGCACCATAAAGGAGATATAGCTTAGATCATAGCACCCAAGCCTTTTCACATATCTAGAAACTCTTCCCAAGAAAGATGGCTGCAAAATAAGTTCTACAGTCAAGACTACAATAAATACCTAATTCTTCAATGCCCAGACACTGAAGAACATCTACTAGCATCAACACCATTCAGGAAAACATGACTACACCAAATAAACTAGGTAACAGATCAGGGACCAATCCTGGAGAAACAGAGATATGTGACCTTTAAGACAGAGAATTCAAAAGAGCTGTGTTGAGGAAACTCAAAGAAATTCAAGATAACACAGAAAATGAATTCAGAATTCCATCAGATAAATTTGACAAAGAGATTGAAGAAATTAAAAAGAATTAAGCAGAAATATTGGAGCTAAAAAATGTAATTGGCATACTGAAGAATCCGTAAAAGTCCTTTAATAGCAGAATTGATTAAGTGGAAAAAAGAATTGGGGAGCCTGAAGACAGGATATTAGAAAATACATAGTTGAAGGAGACAAAAGAAAAAAGAAGAAAAAGAGGTAAGAACACCTACAACATCTAGAAGATGGCCTCAAAGACAAACAAACAAACAAATTAGGAGTTATTGGCCTTAAAGGGAGGTGGAGAAAGAGTTAAGGGTAGAAAGTTTTTTCAAAGGCATAATAACAGAAAATTTCAGAAACTTAGAGAAAGATATCAATAGTCAAATAGAAGGTAATAGAATACCAAGCAGATTTAACTGGAAGAACACTACTTCAAGGCATTTAATAATCAAACTCCGAAAGGTGAAGGATAAAGAAGGGATTCTAAAATCAGCAAGACCAAAAATAAATAAATAAATAAATAAATAAATAAATAAATAAATAAATAAATAAAGTACATTAGAGCTCCAATGACTCTGGCAGCAGACTTTTCCATGCAAATCTTACAGATCAGTAGAGAGTGGCATGACATATTTAAAGTGTTAAAGGCAAATACTTTTATCATAGAATAGTATATCTGGTGAAAATATCCTTCAAACATGAAGAAGAAATAAAGAAATTCACAGACAAACAAAAGCTGAGGGAATTCATTAACACCAGGTCTGTCCTACAAGAAATGCAAAAGAGAGTATTTCGAATACTTCAATTAAAAAGAAATGGTCATTAATCAGCAAAAAGTAATCACCTGAAGGTTCAAAATTCACTGGTGATAGTAAGTACACAGAAAAATACAGAATCTTATAACACTGTAACTGTGGTGTTTAAACTATTCTTACTCTAAGTAGAAACTCTAATTGATGATCCAATCAAAAAATAACTACAACTTTTCAAGACATAGATAATACGATAAGATATAAAAAGAAACAACAAAAATATTAAAAGTGGGAGGTGGGGCAGGTATAAAGTTAAGGTGATGATTTTTTACTAGTTTTTTTTTTTCTTGTTTGTCTATATAAACAGAACTCAGTTGATATTAGCCTAAAATAATGGGTTATAAGAGTATTTGCAAGCATCATGGGAACCTCAAACCAAAAACCAATCTAGAAGAAATGAGCAAATTCCTGGAAACATACAACCTAACAAAATTAAATAACAATTAACAAGATTGAATTTGTAATAAAAAAATCTTCAGGCAAAAACTACAACGACAACAACACTCCAGGGCCCAATGGATTCATGGCTGAATTCTACCAAACATTCAAAGAAAAATTAGTACCAATCCTACTCAATCTATTCTGAAAAATAGGGGAGAGGAAATAGTCATTCTACCAGGTCAGTATAACCATGATACGCAAACCAGACAAAGATACATACAAAACAGAAAACTATAGGCTAATATATCTGATGAATACTGATGTAAAAATTCTCATTGAAATACTAGCAATCTGAATTGAACAGTACATTAAAAAAGATCACTCCACCATGACCAAGCGGAATTTATCCCTGGGATGCAAGGATGGTTCCACATATGCAAATCAATCAATGTGATACATCATATCAACAGAATGAAAAATGATAACCATTTGATCATTTCAATTGATGCTGAAAAGACATTTGACCCACAGATAATATCATACTGAATAGGGAAAAAAGCGAAAGCATTTTATCTAAGATCTGGAACATGACAAGGATGCCCACTGTCACCACTATCATTCAACATAGTACTGGAAGTCCTAGCTAGAGCAATCACACAAGAGAAAGATATAAAAGACAACTAAATTGGAATGAAAGTAGTCAATTTATCCTTGTTTGCAGATAGCATGATATTTGGACAAATCTAAAGATACTGTGAATGAAACTATGAGCATTGATAAACAAATTTAGTAAAGTTTCAGGATATAAAATCAGCATATAAAAATCAGTAGTATTTCTGTATTCCAACAGTAAACAAGGCAAACAAGAAATAAAAAAAAATCCAATTTACAACAGCCATATATAAAATTAAATTCCTAGAAAATAACCAAAGAAAAGATCTCTATAATAAAAACTATGAATCATTGATCAAAAAATTTGAAAAGGACACCAAAAAATTAAAAGATATTTCATTTTAATGTATTGGAATTATCAATATTGTGAAATGTCCATACATACCCAAAGCAATCTACAGATTCCATACAATCCCTGTTAAAATACCAACATTCTTTACAGAAACGGAAAAAACAATCCTAAAATTTATATAGCACTAAAAAAGACCCAGAATAGCCAAAGCTATTCTGAGCAATAAGAACAAAACTGGAGGGATCACATTACCTGACTTCAAATTGTACTACAGAGCTAGTAAACAAAACAGCATGGTACTGGGATAAAAAAAAAAAAAAAGACACATAGACCAATGGAACAGAATAGAATAGACAACACATAGACCAATGGGACAGAACAGAATAGAGAACCAAGAAACACATTCACACACTGACAGTAAATCCATTTTTGAAAAAATTGCCAAGAACATATACTGTGGAAAGGACAGTCTCTTATATAAATTATGCTAGGAAAACAGGATATCCATACGCAGAAGAATAAAACTAGATCCCCATCTCTCTATATATAGAAAGATCAAATCAAATTGAATTAAAGACTTAAATCAAAAACCTCAAACTATAAAATTACTTCAAAAAAACTTTGAGGACAATCTGCATTACATTGTTCTGGGCAAAGATCTCTACAAATACAGGGACCCAAAACAAAAATGGATAGATGGGACCACATTAAGTTAAAAAGCTTCTGCACAGAAAACAATACAATCAATTCAGTAAAAAGACAAACCACAGAATGGGAGAATTTATCTGCAAACTCCTCATCTGGCAAGGGAATAATAACCAGAATATGTAAGGAGCTCAAATAATTCTATAGGAAAAAAATCTAATAATCCAGTCAAAATATGGGCAAATGATTTTAATCGACATTTTTTCAAAAGAATACATAAAAATGGCAGACATATAAAAACATACTCAATATTATTGGGCAATGTAAATCAAAACTATAATGAGATTATTATCATCCCACTCCAGTTAAAATGGCTTCTATCCAAAATACAGGCAGTAACAAATGCAATCAAGGATGTGGAAAAAAGGAACCCTTACATACTGTTAGTGGGAATGTAAATCAGTACAATCACTATGGAGAACAGTTTGCAGGTTCCTCAAAAAACTAAAAATTGAGCTACCACATGATCCAACATCACAATGCTAGGTATATACCTCAAAGAAAGGAAATCATTATATCAAAGAGATATCTGCACTCCTATGTTAGTTGCCGCACTGTTCACAATAGCTAAGATTTGGAAGAAACTTACATGTCCATCAACAGATGAATGTGTAGAGAAAATGTGGTACATATTCACTATGTAGTGCTATTCAGCCATAAAAAGGAATGAAATGCAGTCATTAGAGAAACATGGATAGAACTGGAGATCATCATGTCAAGTGAAATAAGCCAGCCACAGGAAGACAAATATCACAGGTTCTCTCTCATTTGTAGAATCTAATAATCAAAACAAACTCACGGATATAGAGAGTAGAAGGACAGTTTTTAGAAGCACAGAAGGGTTGTGGGCTGGGGAGGAGTTGGAGATGGTTAATGGGTACAAAAAACAGAAATAATGAATAAGATCAACTACTTGATAGCACAATAGGGTGACTATAGTCAATAATAATTGTACATTTAAAAATAGAGTGTAATTGGATTGTTTATAACTCAAAGGTTAAATGTTTGAGGAGATGGATACCCCATTGTCCATGATATGTTTATTTCACACTACATGCCTGTATCAAAACATCTCAAGTACCCCATAATAAATACACCAACTCTGTACCCACAAAAAATAAAAATAAAGAAAATTTTAAAAAACACATAAAATTTATCAAGTTTGCTGAAAAAATGAAAATGAAACATTTATTTCATGATTTAGCTCTGAATATAACAAACGTAAAAATAATTGGCAATCATGCTACTTAGCCTAGAAAAGAATGAGCTGAGACACACTTAACAAATATAATTTCACTCAATTTTCCCACTTCATCTTCTGTTAACAAATCCTTAATAATAAAATAAATATGTTAATAATTTACAAAAACTATACTACAACTCAAATCAAGACTGCATCTAAGAACACTGTAGGTGTACACATAAAAAATTTACAGTATATTTGTTTCTTTTCATTTTTATCTCACAGCTAAATCACATGATATCATTAAGTAATATAATTCTAGGCAATGCATTGCATTTATGTTTTTATTTATAATGTTTAATGATTTTCAATTCAAATGTTACATAATAGAACAGATAATGTACAACTGTCCGTGGCAATACTTCATTATCTTTTAAGTCCAAACTAAACCATGGCTCATACTTTGACATCTCATAATGAGTACTATCATTCCTGCTTCATAATTTAAAAAATAATATAGTTGCCTGATAGTTTTTCTAATCTACTATACAAAAAGGCCTCTCCAAAATTACTAAACACTTATTCTAAAACCTAAGGCTCTTAGCCGGTAATTTGCTGAAAAATTTTATAATTTGATGTTTCATGTAATTTTAACAGAAACTTTTGTTGAAACGTATATTTTGATAAATTATTTTCTGAGATGTGCAACATATTTTGCCAAACTAATTGAAACTCCTTACAAAGTATTTATCAAAATATATGTTTGTGTTTAAACCTTGTGTTATCTACCGCATCACCAGCATGCAATTCCATGTTCACAGGCAGTCATCTCTTGCCTACACTTCAGATCGCATAGGTTTCCAGCCTTCACAGCCGGAATGAATGGAAACATTGTTCCCTGGCCCCAGCTCTATTAAAAGGGAAAATACTATAATGTATTATGGGAAGACACTGTGGTGGATATTTTACATAGCAAGTCTGTCCTCAGAGTAACCCAGGGCATAAATAATTAGGCAAATCTACTCCTGCTATTTCTTGCTACTATAATTTTTTTTTAGGTTTTCTTTGATAATAAAGATAACTGGAATGCTGTATATTTTTTGTTCACAATTCCTAATTGATTAATCAGCATCTTAAGACCTAATACGCTTTTTCTTGTAAAACTCACTCCTGATGATAAGATCCCCATTATATAATTATGAGTATTCAAGAGTATAACCAATTTGATTTACCCACAGTTTCTGAGATTTCTGCTATGAATTATTAAAATCTAAAATTCAATTATCTTAACACTTGGGATTCTCTGCTTTGTCTATCAGCAAATTCATTCTCTCAGGACCTCTGATTTGGAGACTTACAGGCCAGTACTCATCCCTATCCTTATTAAAGGATGTGTAAATCCAATCTGATTAACCTTTCTTTTATCCGTATTCCAATGAAGAATCCTAGTATTAGCCTAAACTCGAAATATTGCTCATTTTCAAATATGCAAGTCACATATTCAAGAAAAATATGCTGCAACAGGTCCTTGATTCTATAATCTAATAAGCCATTAAAATTCATGAAGTAAGGCTGGGCACGGTGGCTTACGCCTGTAATCCCTTCATTTTGGGAGGCTGAGGCGGATGGATCACCAGGCCAGGAGATCAAGATCATCCTGGCCAACATGGTGAAACCCCGTGTCTACATTAAGTTAAAATCCAAAAAAAGATGATAATAATAATAATAATAATAATAAATACAAAAAAAAAAATTAGCCGGGCATGATGGCGCATGCCTGTAGTCCCAGCTACTCAGAGGCTGAGGCAGGGGGAATCTCTTGAACCCAGGAGACAGAGGTTGCAGTGAGCCGAGATCAGGCCACTGCACTCCAGCCTGGTGACAGAGCAAGACTCCGTCAAAAAGAGAAAGAAAAAAGAAAAGAAAAGAAAGGAATTAGTATTGTGAGTTTGATTATTTTATTTTAAATATAATTTTTCTTAATAATGTATTTATAAAATTTTTCAAGAATAAAGGAGATTCCTCAAGACAGTAAGATAGGTTATGTAATATAATACCTAGTTTCTATCTTGATGGTCAACATGCAGCTCTCACCTAAACAGTGCTAAGAATAATGAAATATCTCTTCATCTTATAAATTTAATTTATCTAAATATTGTTCAAGTGTATTTGACATCAATGAATAAATGGAATTTTAAAATGCTGTTCATAGCAGAAGTTTTATTTTGTGTTATATACAGCATTACATGATAATGCTCTTTGACTAATAAATAGATGACCCTTAACAAAATGTTACCTGTTCAAATACATCATTGAATCACCAGGTTATTCAAAGCAAAACAGATTCTCTTTACCAAAATGTATCTCTGAGGCTTAAAAGTTTATGTGTATGTGAATCTTCCAAACAAGAAAAAAGTTATTAACACATGTATTTCTACAAGAACTCTCTATGCTTTCTGTTTTTACACATATTACTATTTCCCAGATCTGTCTCACACAATTGGGGAAATGCTGGTCTACAGAATATTTTCTCTCTAATAGATTAATACTATGGATTATACTTAGTTAGCTCAGGCTGCTATAACAACATACCAGACACTAAATGGTTTACAAATTGAGTATTTCTCACAGTTTGTGAGGCTGGAAAGTTTACGATCAAGGCAACAGAAAGTTTGGTGCTTGTTGAGGGGTCTCTTCTTGGTATGCAGATGGCCATCTTTTTGATACATCCTCACATGGCCTTTTCTCAGTGCACACACCTGGAGATCTCTCTCTCTCTTTCTGTCTGTCTGTCTCTGTCTCTCTCTCTCTCCTAATAAGGGGAGTAATCCCACTATAAGGGTCTCATTCTCATGATCTAAACCTAAATACCTTCCAAGGCACCTACCTCCAATACCATCACATTGGGGGTTAAGCCTTCATCGTATGAATTTGGTGAGGAGGCACAAACTTTCAGACCATAACAGTACTCAATACAGGTGTCCAATTAGCCAGGTATAATTAGAGAGTAAAGTTTTGAGAAATATTCTATATCCCAGAAATTACTTATCTTATTGATAGTTTTGTGGGAGTTTTACAGTGAAGCAGGGGTGAGGGAAAGAGGAAAACTGGAGGAGCTGAGGACATGAACAAGAGGGAGCTACCTGAGCAGCAACCATCATCCAACAAGTGTTGAAAGATATTCACATTATATAAAAGCACATATCCTGATAGGTAAAAACTGGCTGAAAATCTAACGTATTTTTTTTACTATCTTGGTTGAAGAGAAAACGTTTGAAAGTTTATGAGCAGGCAAAATGGAAAATCCTTGTACAGAGATAAATCAAATAATTTCTGTTTCATAAGAAGATAACTAGTGAGACATTTGTTCCCATGACTCAACTGAATGGCATTATATTAACATCAACCAAAAGCCTCCTCTTTCAGTGGTAGTTTGTAATGTGCAAATGCATACATATTTTGTTCTATTATTATTATTTTAAAGAATATTTTTTATTTTTTGTACATTTCAAGAATGACCATATTTTCCCTATTTCAAGAATGACCATAATAGGAAGCAGAAGTTGCTTCTCCATTAATCCACAGGAATAATACTGCACTGCACATTTCACTAACATTTCACGAAGTGTTAAAAGGAAAAAAAAAGAATGACACTAAACACTTAACGTAAATTGTTAAAAATGAAATCAGAGTGTTATATCTTGTTATATTACTTTACTGTTTATATTCAGAAATATTAAATAATTGTTTTCACAAACATCATTCTATTCAGTTTTAATTTCTAATAAATTTTGTATACTATAATAAGGTTTACTGAAATGAATTACAAGGTATGACAATTTCTTAGAGCCAAAATTTTCTCTCCATGTCAGTAGTAATATTTTTGCTATGATATTGAATGAAAATATATAAATCTAAATAAGTTCCTATGTAAACAACTTGAAAAGAGGGTTTTTAAAAAGTACAACACCTTTATACCCTTCACATAGATTCACCAATGTTTTTGAACTAAACTCTAGGCTTTATTTCAACTTCATCTATTTTTCCAATGCCTTTTTTTCTGTTGTAGAATTTTGTCCGGGATATCATATTTCATTTAGTTATAACAATCCCTTAATGTCTTCTGGTCTGTGACAGTTTTTCTGTCTTTTCTTATTTTTAATGACTGAGATTTTTGAGGGGTTATGGTCTGATATTTCATAGAATGACCCTCAATAAGAGATTGACTGATGATTTTGGTTTACCTAAGGATTGGACACGTGTTACAGGTTTTTGGAAAGAATGCAACAGAAGGAAATGTCCTTTCCATTACATCATGTCAGTGGGTATTGATAGCTACCTGACATCACTGCTAAATGTTAACCTTGATTACTTGGTTAAGACAATGTTTGCCAAAATGTTTACTCTAAGGTTACTATTTTTCCTTTTTTTTAGTCTATTATTTCTATTATGTTTTTGTTTCAAAGACTGTGCTTCTGGTGTTATATCTGAAAATTAATTATCAAGTCAAAGTCATGCAGATTCACTTTGTTTTCTTCAGACAGTTTTAAGTAGGTCTATATTTTACATTTCAGTTTATTATCTGTTTTGAGTAAATTTTGGTACAATGTGTCAGCTACATGGCAAGGTTCCTTTATTTTTGCATAGGAAATCCCAACTGTTGTAACACCATTTGATGAAAATATTTTCCTTCCTCCATTGTTTGGGTCTAATTCTAAACTCTAGTTTTTCCATTGATCTATCCTTTTATCTCTACCATACTAGATCAATTACCATAGATTTATATTATTCTTAAATTCAGATATTATGAATCCCCAAGCTTGTTTTTATTTGTTAATTTTCAGAGTTGTTTTGGCTATTCTAGTTCCTTTGACATTCCATATAAATTTTAGAAAAAGTTTCTTAAAGTCTGCAAAAAAGTTTGCTGGAATTTTGATTGAAATTGTGTTGAATCTATAAATCAAATTAAAGACAAGGTTATCCTAACAATATTAAGTGTTTAATCCACTGACAAGGGCTTATTTAGATCTTCTTTATTTCATTGATCACAATTTTGTAGTTTTCCACATATAGATCCTGCCCGTGTTTACTTTTTGATTTACACAAAAGTACTTTATTTTTTAATATATAGTGATTTTCTTTTAAATTCTATATTTCAGTTGTCCACTAGTTATATGAAAAAGGCAATTGACTTTTGTATATTGTCTTTTCTCTGCAGCAGTGCTAAATTCATTTATAAATGCCAAGATTTTTTTATATATAGCTTATTAGGAATTTTCTACATAAATGATTATGTCATCTGAGGATAAATATAATTCATGTATGCTTTTCTTTTTCCGTGTATATATATATATATATATGTATGTATACACAAAAAATCCCTAAATATATACGTACGTGTGTGTGTGTATAGCTTTCTACGATTTTCTGTTTTAACATCCTTGGTGTATCTTTCCAGTATAATCATACCATGAACATATAGCTTTCCCTTCACAGATAATAACTTTGAGAGATATGTTTTTTGTAAGGTAATTATAAATTCTTAAAAGAAGTATCATATAGTCTATAAACACTTATTTGTTCCCATTTCTGTTATCAATAAATGTATGGAAACCTATAATCAAGTGCTATTGTTACTGAAATACAAGGAGTTTTATCTAGATCCTTCTGTTTGTGGCACAGAAAGCCAAACCTTGTGGCAATGAATACTGCTAATGAAGAAGGCTTTAATTAGGTGTTTCAGATGAGAAGATGGGAGATCATTCTCAAATTCGTTTCCCTAACCAACTAAAATCAGGGGTTTATATAGCAGGGATAAAATGTAACTACATGTAGGAAAACAGGAATTAGGGAGGAGCAAGAAAGAGAAGTGCATCAAAAAGAAGTAGGTGGTAACTCAGACAATCATGATGAGTGAGGGGTTGGTGTCTTCTTGTCCAGATGCAATGATCTGGTAAGTTTCAGTTCTTTGATACTATTTGGGAGGCCTGGGGGTGGGTTTTCTGAGAAAAGAACTCAAATAAGACAAATGAAACTTTCTCCAGTTATAAAAATGGGAGGATTGATTTCTATGCTTATTCAAAATAAACCATAGGCTGGGTTCAGTGGTTCAGACCTGTAATTCAAGCACTTTGGGAGGCCAAAGCAAACGGAACACTTGAGGCCAGGCGTTTAAGAACAGCCTGGCCAACAGGGAGCAACCCCTTCTCTACTGAAGGATACAAAAATTAGCCAGATGTTGTGGCACACACCTATAGTCCCAGCTACTCGAGAGGCTGAGGCAGGAGAATCACTTGAACCCAGGAGGCGAAGATTGCAGTGAGTCAAGATCACTCCAGGGTATTCCAGCCTGGGCAACAGAGCAAGACTCTGTCTCCAAAAAAAAAAAAAAAAAAAGTAGAAGAAGAAGAAAGAAAAAAAGAAAGAAACCATACATAAACAGTTCATCAGTCCTATGGGAAAACTGAGCCAGTTTTAAAACTTACCCACTAGTCCCATAGATAGTTTATTGTGGATAAACATAGAAATTGACCTTTCTGATCTTAAAGCTTAAAACTGATATTTATTTTATCTGAGTTCCTTCCTTAGGAAATGACCTTCGGTCCTCTAAAAAAAGGTATCAAAGAACTGAAACTCATCAGATCAGGACAACTAGACTACAAGGTTTTGGACCCCTCATTCATCATGATTGCTCCCTTGACCTCCACAGTTCCTTCTTTCTTACACATTGCACATTTTTTTCCTACTACATAAACTTCTAGTTTTAGTTAGCTATGGAGATGGAATTGAGACTGAGCTCCCATCTCCTCGGCTGCAGCACCCAATTAAAGCCTTCTTCCTTAGCAATACTCAGCATCTCAGCGATTGGCTCTCTGTGAAATGAGCAGTAGGACCTAAACCAAACCCCTAGTGTTCTGGTCACAGTTTCACTATTACTGTACTTATATTGCCTAATTGCTAGTTAAAAGTAGATCAAATTGGCCGGGCGCAGTGACTCATGCCTGTAATCCTAGCATTTTGGGAGGCCAAGGCAGGCAGATCCCCTGAAGTCAGGAGTTCGAGACAAGCCTGGCCAACATGGTTAAACCCCGTCTCTACTAAAAATATAAAAACTAGCCAGGCGTGGTGGTGGGCGCTTGTAATCCAAGCTACTCAATTGGCTGAGGCAGGAGAATTGCTTGAATATAGGAGACGGAGGTTGCAGTGAGCTGACATGGTGCCACTGCACTCCAGCCTTGGCGACAGAGTGAGACTCCATCTCAAAAAAAAAAAAAAAAGTAGAACAAATTAATTCCAGGGTTGGAGTAACAGCAATTATAACTGAAACACAGAGAAGAAATAGTAGATGATGCTAACAAAAGGCACCATAGACATAATGTCTCCTGTAATAGTGCTACCCCTTCTTCTTTCCATATGTAGTTCTTGTTTTAGACACAAATGAGAAACTACTTTTTTGATAAAGACTTATTTTTTAATTAATTCTTCTACACATAATTCTACCTGGCTTAATCACCTTTCTTTATGAAAAACTCACTTTCTGGTAATTAGCACCATACAATTTTAAAATTGTTTATCAGATTAAGAACCATTTTATTGTTAGAAAATGACTTAAACAGGCTTGATTAAGAAACATAATTTGTTAGTCTATGTAACAAGAAAGTCCAGAGGTATATTTAAATTTAAACATGGTTTGACTCCAACATTATACTTAACAAAGAATTCTAATTATCTAACACATTTCTAGATCTTCCACTTTCCACATATGGATCTGGCCTGAGGATGACTTCCCAAAAATGGCAGAAGCAATTTCAGATATCTAATCAAAAATGAGTGTTTTTGCTTTTGTATGGATTACCTTGAAAGTATTATTTTCAAAGAAAAAGGCTTTCCCTTTTCTATTCTGATTATATACCCTGAGCTTTACTATGAACCAGTTTAGGTAAATTTCCTGGAAGGGTAATGGGGTTATACTGATTTCATGGGTCAGTGATAGTCTATCTTTATAGCTGAGGGTGATTTTTAACTACATCAAAACCTACATAACATTATAGTAGAATAAAGTAAAACAGAAAAAGCTGGAAGTTCAGGGGAAAAGACTGAACTAAAACAAAAAAACAAAAAAACAAAAAAACAAAAAAAAAACAAGTTCACTGAGTGGTCAGACTTAATTGCTTAATTGGTTTCACTTGACTAGATTTTAAATTTGACACTCTAGGGATCTGAGATTTAATTGATGAAAAAAATTGAAGTTTAAATTTATATAAAAAATGAGAATACACATGCAACCTTAAATTGTCATAAGATACTGTAAGTCAATTCTGAAATTTAAATTGGAATAATATGGAGTATGGAAGACTTAGAAACACTGAACAAACTATAAAATACCTTTTAACATGTTGAACATCTCTAAAGCTTATGATTCAAACAGATTTTGTAAATAAATTAATATTAATATTTTCCAGGAGATATTTACTACTTGAGGCTTGATGTGATTGTTTAAATGCTAAAAGGGGGGAAATGGCAGATAGGAGACAGGACAAACATACAGCTTCCACTTGGAGGAACAGAAAAGCATGTGGAGACTTACACCATGAACTTTTGCCTTAAGAACCACTGTAGGAATGTGCCAGGAAGACCAGCTCACAGGTCTCGTGAAAGATGCGGTTTTCCTCTGCAAGCTCTGTGAGACTGCTTCAAAATTGAGTTTCCAAAGTGTGAAAAGGGAAAACCTGCCTCCAAACACACATCCCTACTGGGGAACCTGAAAATCTGGATCACAGGAAAAGGATTTAAACTTACCTAGAGCTGAAACAGATTTAGGGAGCCAAACAAATTATTAAAGTAGAAGAAGTAGTGGAAGGAGTACTGGAGGCACTCCTAGTCTCCCGCTCAAGCCCAGGGAAGCCATCCCTGACTTTATCTCATAGGGGTTCTTGGGGAAGGCAGCCAGCAGAACTAGGGAGGGGTCACAGGATAAATGAAGCTTCCAACGGGACTTTGTAATAATTTCAATTGAGCATGAATTTTCTTGAGCAGAATTTGGTGGTTCAGGGAAGCACAGGAGCTGTGGCCGATGGCATTGGCAAGTAAGGAGGGGCAAAGCCTGAAAGCCATGCTTGCTTTCTCAGTGAGGAGGCTTGTAGCCTAGAGCAAATTCTGAGCCCTGCACATGGGCTGCTTGTCTATAAACTTGACACTGTTGGTGGTTCGCAATGGGAATAAGACAGGCCTTGCTGGCTGCATGGGTGAGGTTGTCACTGCTGGCTTCCTCCCCCCTCCCTGGTGACCTGTATAATGCAGCACAGGAAGCCATAATCCCCCTTGGAACATAATTGTATTAGCCTGAGAACCACCCCTGCCTCCCCCACAGTGTCTGCAGCAAGCCCTGCCCAGGGAGCACCTGAGCTCAGACTCTGCCCCGGCCTAATGGTTTTTCACTGCCCACCCTGGTTGCCGAACACAAAAGACATAAACACTTGAGAGTTTTATGTATCTGCCTATCACCTGAGAAACTCCAATACTTATCTTGGCCAATTTAGGGCAAATTTATATCTGGCTTCTATTACCACAGTTGGGGCTCTCTTGTAAGTGCCACCTTCTGACTGGAGGCCAACCAACTCAAGCTATTACAGCAACTCATGACAAAATAACTCTGCTTTAAGAAAAGAGAAAATGTCAGTTAACTTCACTGCCTGCAACATCCTGGCTAAGCAGATGTCCTGAGTCCAGACTAGCCAACATGGTGAAACCCTATCTCTACTAAAACTACAAAAATTAGCTAAGCACAGTGGCACACACCTGTAATCCCAGCTACCCTGGGATTACAGGAGTAATCCTGTAATCACGAGACTGAGGCACGCATGAGACTGAGGCACCAGAATCGCTTGAGCCCAGGAGGGGGAGGTTGCAGTGGGCCAAGATCATGCCACTGTACTCCAGCCTGGGTGACAGAGTCAGACTGTCTCAGGAAAAAAAAAAAAAAAGAAAAGAAAAAAGAAAAAGAAAAAGAAATAGAAATTCAACAAAGAAACAATGGACTTGAATTATTCCTTAGAGCAAATGAATTTAACAGATATTTAAAGAACATTCTACCCAACCCAACAAATGCAGAATATACACTATTTTCATCAACACATCAAACATTCCCCAAAATAGAGCATATGATAGGCCACAAAACAAATCTGAATAAATTAAAGAAAATCAAAGTTACATCAAGTACCCTCTCAGAACACAGGGAAATAAAATTGGAAATTAAGTACAAAAGGGACCCTCAAAATGATACAAATACAAGGACATTAAATAGTCTGCTCCGGAATGATCTTTGAGTTAACAATGAAATCAAGATGGAAATTAAAAACTACTTTAAACTGAATGATAATAGTGACACAACCTACAAAAAACCACTGGGATACAGCAAAAGTGGTGCTAAAAGTTCACAGCATTAAATGCCCACATATAAAAAGTCTGAAAGAGCACAAATGGACAATCTAAGGTCACACCTTGAGGAATTAAAGAAAGAAGAACAAACCAAACCCAAACCCAGCAGAAGAAAAGACATAGCAAATATCAGAAAAGAACTAATAAAATTGAAACAAAAAAAATACAAAAGGTAAATGAAACAAAACAGGGTTTTGAAAAGATAAACACATTTATAGACCACTAACAAGATTAACCAAGAAAAGAAGACAGAAGATCCAAATAAGCTAGATTAGAAATGAAATGGGAGATATTACAACTAATACCACAGAAATAAAAAAGACCATTCAAAGTTACTATGAACACTTTTGGGCTCACAAACTAGAAAACCTACAGGAGATGGAAAAATTCCTGGAAATGTACAATCCTCTTAGGTTAAACAAAAGAGAAATAGAAACCCTGAGCAGGCCCACAGCAAGTAGAGATTAAAACAGTAATAAAAAAATTGCCAACAAAAGAGTCCAGCTGAATTCTAAGAGACGTTCAAAAAAGAATTAGTACCAATATTACTGAAACTATACCAACAGATAGACAAAGAGACAATCCTTTCTAAATTATCCTATGAAGCAAGTATCACCCCAATACCAAAACCAGGAAAGAATGTAAGAAAACAAATAAACTTTAAGAATGTTGAATATTGGCCCCCACTCTCTTCTGGCTTGTAGAGTTTCTGTCGAGAGATCCGCTGTTAATCTGATGGGCTTCCCTTTGTGGGTAACCCAACCTTTCTCTCTGGCTGCCCTTAACATTTTTTCCTTCATTTCAACTTTGGTGAATCTGACAATTATGTGTCTTGGAGTTGCTCTTCTCGAGGAGTAACTTTGTGGTGTTCTCTGTATTTCCTGAATCTGAATGTTGGCCTGCCTTGCTAGATTGGGAAAGTTCTCCTGGATAATATCCTGCAGTGTTTTCCAACTTGGTTCCATTCTCCCCGTCACTTTCAGGTACACCAATCAGACGTAGATTTGGTCTTTTCACATAGTCCCACATTTCTTGGAGGCTTTGTTCGTTTCTTTTTATTCTTTTTTCTCTAAACTTCCCTTCTCGCTTCATTTCATTCATTTCATCTTCCATCACTGAAACCCTTTCTTCCAGTTGATTGCATCGGCTCCTGAGGCTTCTGCATTCTTCACATAGTTCTCGAGCCTTGGCTTTCAGCTCCATCAGCTCCTTTAAGCACTTCTCTGTATTGGTTATTCTAGTTATACATTTGTCTAAATTTTTTTTCAAAGTTTTCAACTTCTTTGCCTTTGGTTTGAATTTCCTCCTGTAGCTCGGAGTAGTTTGATCGTCTGAAGCCTTCTTCTCTCAACTCGTCAAAGTCATTCTCCATCCAGCTTTGTTCCATTGCCAGTGAGCAGCTGCGTTCCTTTGGAGGAGGAGAGGCACTCTGCTTTTTAGAGTTTCCAGTTTTTCTGCTCTGTTTTTTCCCCATCTTTGTGGTTTTATCTACTTTTGGTCTTCGATGATGGTGATGTACAGATGGGTTTTTGGTGTGGATGTCCTTTCTGTTTGTTAGTTCTCCTTCTAACGGAAAGGACCCTCAGCTGCAGGTCTGTTGGAGTTTGCTAGAGGTCTATTCCAGACCTTGTTTGCCTGGGTACCAGCAGCGGTGTCTGCAGAAAAGAATTTTCAACCCAGAATTTCATATCCAGCCCAACTAAGCTTCATAAATGAAGGAGAAATAAAATACTTTACAGACAAGCAAATGCTGAGAGATTTTGTCACCACCAGGCCTGCCCTAAAAGAGCTCCTGAAGGAAGCACTAAACATGGAAAGGAACAACCGGTACCAGCCACTGCAAAATCATGCCAAATTGTAAAGACCATCGAGGCTAGGAAGAAACTGCACCAACTAACGAGCAAAATAACCAGCTAACATCATAATGACAGGATCAAATTCACACATAACAATATTAACTTTAAATGTAAATGGGCTAAATGCTCCAATTAAAAGACACAGACTGGCAAATTGGATAAAGAGTCAAGACCCATCAGTGTGCTGTATTCAGGAAACCCATCTCACCTGCAGAGACACACACAGGCTCAAAATAAAAGGATGGAGGAAGATCTACCAAGCAAATGGAAAACAAAAAAAGGCAGGGGTTGCAATCCTAGTCTCTGATAAAACAGACTTTAAACCAACAAACATCAAAAGAGACAAAGAAGGCCATTACATGATGGTAAAGGGATCAATTCAACAAGAAGAGCTAACTATCCTAAATATATATACACCCAATACAGGAGCACCCAGATTCATAAAGCAAGTCTTGAGTGACCTACAAAGAGACTTAGACTCCCACACAATAAAAATGGGAGACTTTAACACCCCACTGTCAACATTAGACAGATCAACGAGACAGAAAGTTAACAAGGATACCAAGGAATTGAACTCAGCTCTGCACCAAGCAGACCTAATAGACATCTACAGAACTATCCACCCCAATTCAACAGAATATACATTTTTTTCAGCACCACACCACACCTATTCCAAAATTGACCACATACTTGGAAGTAAAGCTCTCCTCAGCAAATGTAAAAGATCAGACATTATAACAAACTGTCTCTAAGACCACAGTGCACTCAAAGTAGAGCTCAGGATTAAGAAACTCACTCAAAACTGCTCAACTAAATGGAAACTGAACAACCTGCTCCTGAATGACTACTGGGTACATAAGAAAATGAAGGCAGAAATAAAGATGTTCTTTGAAAGCAATGAGAACAAAGACACAACATACCAGAATCTCTGGGACACATTCAAAGCAATGTGTAGAGGGAAATTTATAGTACTAAATGCCCACAAGAGAAAGCAAGAAAGATCCAAAATTGACACCCTAACGTCACAATTAAAAGAACTAGAAAAGCAAGAGCAAACACATTCAAAAGCTAGCAGAAGGCAAGAAATAACTAAGAGCAGAACTGAAGGAAATAGAGGCACAAAAAACCCTTCAAAAAATTAATGAATCCAGGAGCTGGTTTTTTGAAACGATCAACAAAATTGATAGACCTCTAGCAAGACTAATAAAGAAGAAAAGAGAGAAGAATCAAATAGACGCAATAAAAAATGATAAAGGGGATATCACCACCAATCCCACAGAAATACAAACTACCATCAGAGAATACTACAAACACCTCTATGCAGATAAACTAGAAAATCTAGAAGAAATGGATAAATTCCTCAACACATACACCCTCCCTAGACTAAACCAGGAAGAAGTTGAATCTCTGAATAGACCAATAACAGGCTCTGTAACTGTGGCAGTAATCAATAGCTTACCAACCAAAAAGAGTCCAGGACCAGATGGATTCACAGCCAAATTCTACCAGAGGTACAAGGAGAAACTGGTACCATTCCTTCTGAAACTATTCCAATCAATAGAAAAAGAGGGAATCCTCCCTAACTCAGTTTATGAGGCCAGGATCATCCTGATACCAAAGCCGGGCAGAGACACAACCAAAAAAGGGAATTTTAGACCAACATCCTTGATGAACATTGATGCAAAAATCCTCAATAAAATACTGGCAAACCGAATCCAGCAGCACATCAAAAAGCTTATCCACCATGATCAAGTGGACTTCATCCCTGGGATGCAAGGCTGGTTCAATATATGCAAATCAATAAATGTAATCCAGCATATAAACAGAACCAAAGACAAAAACCACATGATTATCTCAATAGATGAAGAAAAGGCCTTTGACAAAATTGAACAACCCTTCATGCTAAAAACTCTCAATAAATTATGTATTGATGGGACGTATCTCAAAATAATAAGAGCTATTTATGACAAACCCACAGCCAATATCATACTGAATGGACAAAAACTGGAAGCATTCCCTTTGAAAACTGGCACAAGACAGGGATGCCCTCTCTCACCACTCCTATTCAACATAGTGTTGGAAGTTCTGGCCAGGGAAATTAGGCAGAAGAAGGAAATAAAGGGTATTCAATTAGGAAAAGAGGAAGTCAAATTGTCCCTGTTTGCAGATGACATGATTGTATATCTAGAAAACCCCATTGTCTCAGCCCAAAATCTCCTTAAGCTGATAAGCAACTTCAGCAAAGTCTCAGGGTACAAAATCAATGCACAAAAATCACAAGCATTCTTATACACCAATAACAGACAAACAGAGAGCCAAATCATGAGTGAACTCCCATTCACAATTGCTTCAAAAAGATAAAATACCAAGGAATCCAACTTACAAGGGACGTGAAGGACCTCTTCAAGGAGAACTACAAACCACTGCTCAATGAAATAAAAGAGGATACAAACAAATGGAAGAACATTCTATGCTCATGGGTAGGAAGAATCAATATCATGAAAATGGCCATACTGCCCAAGTTAATTTATAGATTCAATGCCATCCCCATCAAGCTACCAATGACTTTCTTCACAGAATTGGAAAAAAACTACTTTAAAGTTCATATGGCACCAAAAAAGAGCCCACATTGCCAAGTCAATTCTAAGCCAAAAGAACAAAGCTGGAGGCATCACGCTACCTGACTTCAAACTATACTACAAGGCTACAGTAACCAAAACAGCATGGTACTGGTAACAAAACAGAGATATAGATGAATGGAACAGAACAGAGCCCTCAGAAATAATGCCGCATATCTACAACTATCTGATCTTTGACAAACCTGAGAAAAACAAGAAATGGGGAAAGGATTCCCTATTTAATAAATGTTGCTGGGAAAACTGGCTAGCCACATGTAGAAAGCTGAAAATGGATCCCTTCCTTACACCTTATACAAAAATTAATTCAAGATGGATTAAAGACTTAAACGTTAGACCTAAAACCATAAAAACCCTAGAAGAAAACGTAGGCATTACCATTCAGGACATAGGCATGGGCAAGGACTTCATGTCTAAAACACCAAAAGCAATGGCAACAAAAGCCAAAATTGACAAATGGGATCTAATTAAACTAAAGAGCTTCTGCACAGCAAAAGAAACTACCATCAGAGTGAACAGGCAACCTACAAAATGGGAGAAAATTTTTGCAACCTACTCATCTGACAAAGGGCTAATATCCAGAATCTACAATGAACTCAAACAAATTTACAAGAAAAAAACAACCCCATCAAAAAGTGGGCAAAAGACATGAACAGACACTTCTCAAAAGAAGACATTTATGCAGCCAAAAAACACATGAAAAAATGCTCACCATCACTGGCTATCAGAGAAATGCAAATCAATACCACAATGAGATACTTCTCACACCAGTTAGAATGGCAACCATTAAAAAGTCAGGAAACAACAGGTGCTGGAGAGGATGTGGAGAAATAGGAACACTTACTCTGTTGGTGGGACTGTAAACTAGTTCAACCCTTGTGGAAGTCAGTGTGGCGATTGCTCAGGGATCTAGAACTAGAAATACCATTTGACCCAGTCATCCCATTACTGGGTATATACCCAAAGGACTATAAATCATGCTGCTATAAAGACACATGCACACGTATGTTTATTGCGGCACTATTCACAATAGCAAAGACTTGGAACCAACCCAAATGTCCAACAATGATAGATTGGATTAAGAAAATGTGGCACATATACACCATGGAATACTATGCAGCCATAAAAAATGATGAGTTCATGTCCTTTGTTAGGGACATGGATGAAATTGGAAATCATCATTCTCAGTAAACTATCGCAAGAACAAAAAACCAAACACCGCATATTCTCACTCATAGGTGGGAATTGAACAATGAGAACACATGGACACAGGAAGGGTAACATCACACTCTGGGGACTGTTGTGGGGTTGGGGGAGGGGGGAGGGATAGCTTTAGGGGATATACCTAATGCTAAATGAAGAGTTACTGGGTGCAGCACACCAACATGGCACATGTATGCATATGTAACTAACCTGCACATTGTGCACATGTACCCTAAAACTTAAAGTATAATAATAATAAAATAAAAATAAAAATTAAAAAAAAAAGAAAAAAAAAGAAAACAAGTAAACTACAGAGCAATATCCCTGTTGAACATAGATCCAAAAATCCTCAGCAAAATATTAGGTTTGTGCAAATGTAATTGCAGTTTTTGTCATTTATGGCAAAATCTCCAATTACATTTGCACCAACATAATAGCAGTCAACCAAATCCAACAGCATATCAAAAAGATAAGCCAGTATATCAAGTGGGTTTTATACCAGGGATACAGGGGCAGTTTAACATACACAATTTAATAAATGTGATACAAATTAGCATAGAAGAGAAGTACCTAAAAGTAATAAAAGCCATCTATGCCAAACCCACAACCAACATTATACTGATGGGGAAAGGTTAAAAGCGTTCCCTCTGAGACCTGGAACAAGACAGGGATGCCCACTCTCACCACTACTATGCAACATAGTGCTGGAAGTCCTAGCCAAAGTGATCAGACAAAAGAAATAAAGGACACTCTAATTGGTAAAGAGGAAATCGAATTGGCCCTGTTTGTCAATCACATGATTGTATACTTTAAAAATCCTAAAGACTTAGGCAAAAAGCTCCTAAAACTGGTCAATGAATTCAGTAAAGTTCAGGATACAAAATTAATGTACACAAATCAGTAGCCGTGGTCTAAATCAACAGCACCGAAGGTGAGAATCAAATAAAAAACACAACCCCTTTTACAATAGCTGCAAAAACAAAACAAAACAAAACAAACAAACAAATGAAAAAAAAACACTTCCAATACATATAACCAAGGAGGTGAAAGACCTCTACAAGGAAAACTAAAAAACAGTGCTGAAAGAAATCATAGAAAACACAAACAAATTGAAAAACATCCCATGCTTATAGATGGGTAGAATCAATAATGTGAAAATGACCATACTGCAAAAAGCAATCTATGAATTCAATGCAGTTCTTATCAAACTACTACCATCCTTCTTCACAAAACTAGAAAAAAATTCTAAAATTTATACAGAACTAGAAAAGAGCCTGCATAACCAAAGCAAGACTAAGCAAAAAGAACAAATCTGGATGCATCACATTACCTGACTTCAAACTATACTATAAGGCCATAGTCACCAAAACAGCATAATACTGGTATAAAAAACAGGCATACCAACCAATGAAACAGAATAGAAAACCCAGAAATAAAGCCAAATACTTACAGTAAACTGATATTTGACAAAGAAAAGAAAACAAAACAAAACAAAACCAAAAAACAAAAAAAACCTTAAAGTGGGGAAAGGACACCCTATTCAACAAATGGTGTTGGAATAATTGGAATAACAGCTTTAATAACAAAAATATCTTAAAATTACTTAGTAGTACATAGTAGGTCCCTCAGTATTTACTGGAAAATCTAGGGCTCAAAGTTGAGAAGAAATAATAGAAACCTTCTGCTTTCTCCTAGGCACAAAGAAGGACAAAATTTCATTGACTTTTACATGTATGTATGACTGTTGGGAAGGCCAGAAAAAAAGAAATGAAAATTCTTGCAAAGTTTTTTTATTTTTGCCTTAAGTGTAAAACTGAAAAGGTTCTTGAGGACCTTGCTAGAATTTAAGTTCCTTTATATGGTATTTACAAATATCACAGAGAATCTCAAGACTTGAAAAAAAATTAGAGGTTATTTATTTAATGTTTTATTCAATTCTGAAGTTATTTTACTGTCTGATTAAATAAGCAAACTTTAAAATTATCTGCAAAACTGTTATATAATCTCTAACATAAAATTTCTTTTGGTAGGTAAGATAATTTTAACTTTTTGAAGTACATCTGTTGTGTAAACACTATGAGCTAACAGTGGGAACACTTTGTGTCATTTAGTGAAATGAGTAATCCACAGCAAGATGTCAATGTTTTTATGCGACTAGTACTGTGAGTAATTACTGCTTGGCTACAATATCTTGAAAATATTAAGTGTTTCATATACAAACAAAATTGCAAATTTTATATTCATTTACAGAATCACTTTAACATTTTCAGCTCATACTACAACAGATATCAGAGATGAAAGAACAGACAAAAAAAGATAAAATAAAACATCTTTCAAAAACTTTTCAAATGTCAAGTTCACTTGGACATGCTTAAGAAATTGTATTGTTTTGTTTTGTTAGTGGGATTGATCAGAGCAGCTCTATGTTGAACTAATAGATTTCAACCTATACAGCTATTTTCCTAAATAATATTTTTTGTGTGTTTATGTAAAAATGTCTCCAATAATTTTAAATGTATTAAATATATTTTATAAAAACATAGAATAAACTCTCCCAAAAGGGTTTATTTACTAATTGCTCTACATTATCATCAGATGGCTGAAAACAGCTGATCAACATTATTCAAAGCATTTTTCCTAAAACAAGTAACATTTTTCTAAGTTACATATACTGAAATTAATTTAGCTTTAATTTAAGCAAGGTATATTCATTCTTCAGACATTTGCTGAATTACTAATTTCTGCTTTTATAAAAAAGCCAATATCTTTCAGATTATATATAATGTCAAGGAAAAGTTCTAGAACTAAATGCTAAAACATAACTAAGTCATTTAGAGATGTTATTATATACATTAATCTTATTACTATTATTTTCAGGAGCTGCATTTAGCCTTATCATAATACTGAAGCCAAAATTTTGCTATTCTGCCTGCCTGTCAAATGTTTCCTTTCTATAATCAAGGAAAAATTTTGAAAATGTTCCCAATGTTTTATCTGCATATTAATTCAACACACATTTCTTTCACATCCACTTGTGTCAAGTGTCTACTTGCTATTAGTCCAAGATGAAGTAAATACAGTTTTTACCTTCAAATGACTCACAATTTAGTGGAACTAATACTGTGGAAAATTACAATTAAAATATAAGCAAAGTTACTTTGGGCAAGTGAAGCATGCTCTCAAAGCCCAGAGTATAATTATCTTGAAGGCTTTCTGGAGGACTAACAATTTAATTGAAAGATAACTAAAAATAGGAGTTAGCCTAAACAAGAGGAATGAGGTAAGATATATCAAGTCACAGGTATGGGACAGTCATAGTTAAAGCAAAGAGATGAGATAGATCATGAAACATTCAGAGATTTGTAAGTTACTATGTAGAGTTGGAATGTGAGCACTGAGGAAGGCAAGAAATACTATGCTGAAAGTCTTGTCATTTAGAGCTTATGCCTTTTATATAACAAAAGCATTGTGAGGTGTTCTAGAAAAATTAGGCTGTATATTAAGAGCATGCAGATTTACTAGTATCTTGAAATAATACTTATTTAGAACAAGAATAATAATAATTAGAGGAAATAACTGTTGCAAAAATGACATTTAGGAAAATATGTCATTATTTGTTGCAATAGGATGATGGCTTGAATTGGGGTTGGTTACCAGGTGGGTATATACAATTAGATAATTTAGAAAGAAGTAAAAGACAGAATTTATATGTCCTAGCACCTAGCAATAGGTATCAACTCTCTAGTTTCTGTCATAAGCTAGGGAATGGATATAGCTAATCATAGAGAACCACCCCCCAATACCCACCAATAAAAAGGAAAGATTTAGGGACAAAGATACGGAGGTCGTATTTATCATCTCTGCTTTTCTCAAAGTTACAACAAATGACCCTTTCTCTGTACATTCCCTTCGCTATGCTATTATCTGCTTTCTCTTTCCATAGCTGTTATTACTTGGATGTCATCTTCCTTGGTTGATTTTTAAATTTAATATCTGGCCTACTTCTTAATGTTTTGCATTTGTAACACTTTATGATAAAAATACAACCTATTGGATATAATAAAACAATATTTATTTGATGCTGTTTCTGGGAAAAAAAGGACTGTATACTGCACATAAAGTTAACATATCTAGATAAAGTAATATCTTGTTAAAAAGCATTGTGCAAAGCGTACTTATTGCTTGATCTTCAGACCATGGTTCAGATAATCTGATTTCATTATCTGTTATATTTTCCTTGGACGTAGTATCTTTTATGACTCACATCCAAAAAAGTGTAAAGCATTTTATGTTATACAAACAAAATGATTAGTAGTTTATAAAAATTGATAAAATAAAAATGATAACTCAACAAAATAACGCCTTAGATATTCTGGCCGAAAGTTATTTTCAACTCCAAATTCTTTACCCATTCAAAAATTAAAATAAAGACTTATTAAAATTTAAACAAAAATTGATCTACTATGAAACCTGACTAAATGTCCACTTCACCTTGTATTTAAACTGTAAGATAAATCACAGAATTCAGGAAATAAGAGATAATTGTTCTAAACAGAGTTCTACAGGTTTCTGCATAAATGGGAACAACAAGAAACCTTAGGATGAAATATCAAGGAATTTTCTTATGGCAACTGAGCAGTAGTCCTAGTGATCTAACAGGGCTGATACAAGCAGGTAGATGGAGCTTGCAAACTGATGAGTCTCTGAAGAAAAAACAGAACTGATATGTCTTGAATACAGAAAATGTTATTGATGGAATTTATATTCAATTGAATACAGAAAATGTTATTGATGGAATTTATATTCAACAGAGAAGTAGAGAAATTGGGGAGAAAATGAGATAATCTCTAAGAAAATTTTACATATGGAACAAAAACACAATTTAGTGTTTTCAGTAAATCTATAAACTAAAATAGATAATAAAAATTAATTGATTAAAATTTAGCTTGCAAAGAGGAAGTATACATGATTAACAATATTTTACCCAGTGACATCTCAATACAATCTTTCTCCATAGACTCTGTAGAAGGTAGATATTTAGTTTTGGCCTTAGCTCCTCCAGTTAGCAAACTGCTGTCACTGGCAACCAGGTTCTGCTATCTAACCTTTTCCCTTCCCCAAGTATAGATGTCTGAACTGAAATGAATACATCATCTAAAGAAGTCAATTCCTCTTTATCTGAGAATTTGAGTGAGGCCCAGAGAATGCAGAATTAAGTCTTGTATCAAATCGATGGCAGAACTTCTTAGCTTTATAGCTATCTCTCAATTTCCCCGCATTTTTTAAAATTCCTTATTTTCCAGAACGCTATTTATTCCCTCACATTGAATAAGAGAAAATACACCAAGATCCTTCCAATGCATTCTCATTTTTTGCTTATAATTTTTGAAAGTTCTAGACAATAATACTCAGAATTGTTTCTTTCAAAGGATTCTGTAGTTACTCAGAGGAACTGAAGAGGATAGAAAAAACAGCCTTGGGTAAAAAAGATCATCTTGTATCATCTACACCACCCTTCTACTACCCCTGACAGAATCTCTGTGGTCCAGAAAGAAAATCTGTGTATTTGCAGAAGAGAGAGAGCAGTTATTATTGGATTATCTTTGGAACTCATTGCTGCCCTATTATAGCAGATAGCAACATAGGGCAGAACTCAGCCAGTAACCATGAAGGAAACACTTAGACCAGCCTTAGGCAGAGGGGAATCCTCCATCCTAGTTGTCAGAACCTGAGTATCAGCAAGCCACACCACCTTGAACTAAAGTGCCATGGGGTTCTAAATAAACTTGACAGGCAGTCTAAACAACAAGGACTACAATTCCTGGGCAATTCCTGGTGCTGTGCTGGACTCAGAGCCAGTAGACTTAGGGTACACATGACCAAGTGAGATATCAACCAGGGCAGACAAGGAAGTGCTTGCATCACACTTTTTCCAACCCCAGGCAGTGAAGCTCACAGTTCCAGGAGAGACTCATTCGGTCTACTTGAGGAGAAGAGAGGAGGCGAGAGAAGACAAGAGGGGAGATTAAAGAGGATTTTGTCTTGCAAATTAGTTACAAGCTCAGCCACAGTAGAATAGGGCACCAGGCAGAGTCCCAAGGTACCCATTCCAACCCTACCTCCTGGACAACATTTTTAAACACACTCTACGCCAGAAGGGAATCCATTGCCTTGAAGGGAAGGACTTCATCCTGGCAGAATGTATTACCTGCTGACTATAGAGCCCATAGGCCCTCAGTAATCAGTAGTGGTTGTCAGGCAGTACTTGTTGTAGGACTTTGGTAAGAATCAGAGCAGTGCTGGTTTCACTGGTGATCCAGCACATTCCTAGCTGTGATGACTTCAGGAAAAGACCCCTTCTGATTCAGAAAAGGAGAGGAGGGAGTAAAATCAATTTTGTCTTGTAGTTTGAGTACCAGCTCTGCCACGGTGGGTTTGAACACCAAGGGAGTTCCTGGGGTCCTTAATTCCAGGCCTTTGCTTCTGAATGGCACTTTTAGACATGCCCTGGGCCACAGGGAAGCCCAGTTCCCTAAAGGGAGAGAATCATGACTGACAGCATTCACCACAAGCTGACTAAAGAACCACTGGGCCTTGAGCAAACGTCGGCAGTAGCCAGGCAGTACTTACATAGGCCTTGAGTGTGGTGGCCATGGGGAAAACTTTTCTGCCTTAGGAAAGGGGAAGAATTAGTGGGAAGAACTTTGTCTTGTGGCTTGAGTGCCAGCTTAGCCGCAGTAGAATAGAGCACCAGGTAGATTCCTAAGGTTTTTGACTCCAAGCCTAGCTCCTGGACAGCATCTTCAGACCCACTAGGCTGGTGGAATCTTGCCGTACTAAAGGAATGACAAAAGCATGGTTTATTTAGCCACTTGCTGACTGTAGAGCCTTTAGCAATTGAGTAAACATAGGCAGTAGCCAGGCAGTGGTTGCTGTGGACATTAGGTATGACCCAGTGCTGTGCCAGCTTCAGCTATGACAACAGTCCTAGTGGTGACGGCCACAAGAGTGGTCGTGCCACCCATTTTCCAGCTCTGGAGAGCTCAGTACACACAGCATATCTGTCTAGAGGAAAGTAAGTAAAGGAAGGGAACAAGAATCTTTGCATGGTAATCAAGAGAATTCTTTCAGATTCTAACCGATACCACATAGGTGATACTTCTGTGAATCTGCAATACAACATTACCAGACTTGGGGTAAAAACTAAAGCAAATGAACCTGTAGTGACTAAAAAATGAAACCACCCACTAAAGTCCTTTGAATATTGGAAAGCCTTCCCAAGAAGAATGGATCCAAACAAGCCCAGACTGTGAAGACTACAGGTAATACCTAACTCCTCAATGCCCAGACACCAACAAACATCAAGACCATCCAGAAAAACATGTCCTCACCATATGAATTTAATAATGCACAAGTGACAAAATCCAGAGGGTGGGGTCAGAAATATGTGACATTTCAGACAGAGAACTCAAGATAGCTGATTTGAGGAAGCTCAATGAAATCCAAGATAATACTTTGAGTGGAAGCAGAAATTACCAAGCAGAAGACAGAATTAGAGAGCTTGAAGATAGGCTGATGAAAAATACATAGTAAGAAGAAAGAAAAGTAGTAAGGAGGGACAAAAGCATAAAGAAGTAAAAAGAATTAAACATGCCTACTGTCTAGAAAGTAGCCTCCACAGGGAAAAAATCTAAGAGGTATTGGCCTTAAAGAGGAAGAAGAGATAGCAATTGAAGTATTAATACCCTGCTAAAAGAAAGGCAGAAAGAAAGGAAAATGGGAAGAGGAGACGACAAAACACCCAGAAAACAAATAACAAAATGGTAGGAATAAGTCATCACTTATCAATAACAATGATTGTAAATAGACTAAACTCTCCCATCAAAAGACATAGAGTGATTAAATGGATAAAAAACAATACCCAGTGATCTGTTACCTACAAGAAACACTTCATCTATAAAGACACACATACACTGAAAATAAAGAGATAGAAAGAGATATTCCATGCAAATGGAAACCAAAAAAGGGCAGGAGTATGTATACTTATATCAGACAAAATAGATTTCAAGACAAAAAAATATAAAAACAAAAAAAAAGTTATTGTATAATTATAAAGTGGCGAATTCAGCAAGATAATATAACAATTGTAAGTAGGTATGTACTCAACGATGGAGCACCCAGATACATAAAACAAATATTATTAGAGCTAAAGAGAGAGACACCAATACAATAATAGCTGTAGATTTCAATCAGCAGATACAGATCATCCAGACAGAAAATCAACAAAGACACATGGGACTTAATCTACACTGCAGAACAAATGGACATAAGGAATATTTACAGAACATTTTTACCATTGGCTGCAAAACACACATTCTTCTCCTGAGGACATGAATCATTCTGAAGGATAGCCAATATGTTACACCACCAAACAAATCTTCAAAAAAATAAAATAATAAAATCACATCCAAATATCTGGCAACTATAAAATAAAGCTAGGAATCAAAAAGTAACTTTGAAACTATACAAACACATGGAAATTAAATGATAAGTTCATGAAAGACAGTGGGCCAATGAGGAAATTAAGATAAAAATTTAACATATTTGAAACAAATTATAATAAAAACAAATAAAAACCCTGTGGAATACCTATGGAATGTAGCAAAAGCCTATGGAATATAGAAAAAGCAGTACTAAGATGAAAGTTTATTGCTATAATTACCTACATCTAAAAGTACAGGAAAACTTCAAATAATCTAATAATGCATCTAATAATGCAACTAGAAAAGTGAAAGAAATCCAAACCCAATGTTAGAAGAAAAGTAACAGTAAAGATCAGAGCAGAAATAAACAAATCAAAATGTAAATATTACAATATATAAGATCAATGAAATGAAAAGATAAACAAAATCGTGTTTTTTCGAAAAGATAAACAAGATCGACATATCTTTAGCCAGATGAAAAAAAATAGAAAACCCAAATTAATAAAAATCAGAAATAAAAATGGAGATATTACAACCAATATCACATAAATTCAAAACTTTATTAGTGGATACTATGAACAACTATATTTCAATAAACTTGAAAACCTAGACAAAATAGATGAATTCCTAGTCATATACAATGTACCAAGATTAAACCATGAAGAAATTAAAAAAAACTGAACATACCAATGAAAGTAACAAGATCAAACCTGTCAAAAAAAAATCTCCCAGTAAAAAAAAAGCAAAACAAAAAATCAACATACAAAAATCAGTAGAATTTCTATGGGCTAACAGTGAAAAATCTAACCAAATTTTTAAAATTCCATTTACAATGGTGACAAAAAATAAAATATCTCAGAATAAACTTAACTGAAGAAGTAAAAGATCTCCACAATAAAAACACAAAACTTTGATGCAAGAAATTGAAGAGGACACAAAAAATGGAAAAATATTCCATGTTAATGTACTGAAAGAATCAATATTGTCAAAATGTCTATACTACCTAAAGCAATCTACAGATTCAATGCCACCCCTATCAAAATACTAATGACAATTTCACAGAAATAGACAAAAAATTCCTAAAATGTGTATGGAACCACAAAACCCAAAAATAGGAAAAGCTGTCCTGAAGAAAAAGAACAAACCTGGAGGAATCACATTACCTGACTTCACATTGTACTACACAGCTATAGTAACCAAAGCAACATGGTCCTGGCATAATAGCAGACAAATAGACCAATGGAGCAGAACAGAGAACCCAAAAATAACTCCATATATTGAGAACAAAAAATCTTTTCAATAAATGGTGCTGGGAAAACTGTATATCCGTATGGAAAAGAATAAAACTAATCCCCTATCTCTTGCGATAATCAAAAATCAAGTCAAAATAGATTAAATACTTAAACCTAAGACATCATACTATGAAATTACTACAAGAAAACTTTTGGAAAACTTTCCAAGATAGTGGTCTGGGCAAAGATTTCTTGAGTAACACCCCACAAGCTCAGGAAACCAAAGCAAAAATTAACAAAAGAGATTGCATCAAGTTAAAAAGCTTCTGCACAGAAAAGGATACAATTAACACAGTGAAGAGACAACCCACAGAAAGAGAGAAAATATATGCAAGTTACCTATCTTGACAAGATATTAATGACTGGAATACATAAGGAGCTCAAACAACTAGGAAAAAACCTAATAATTCAATAAAAAACGGGCAAATCATTTGAATATGCATTTCTCAAAAGAAATTGTTGCAAATGGCAAACTGGAATACAAAAAGGTGCTCAACATCATTGATCATCAGACAGATGCAAATCAAAACTAGAGTGAGATATTATCTCACCCCATTTAAAATGGCTTTCATCCAAAAGACAAGCAATAACAAATGCTGACGAGGGTGAGGAGAAAGGGAACCCTTGCACACTGTTGTTTGGAACGTACATTAGTACAGCCATTGTGGAGAAGAGTTTGGAGGTTTTTCAGAAAACTAAAAATAGAGCTACCATATAATCCAGCAACCCCACTGCTAGACATAGGATCAAAAGAAAGGAAATCAGTATATCAGTATATAAAAGAGATATCTGCACTCCTATGCTATTGCAGCACTATTCTCAATAGTCAAAATTTGGAATCCCCCTAAGTTTCCATCAACAGATGATGGATAAAGAAAATGTGGTACATACGCAGCCATAAAAAAAATGAGGTCCTGTCATTTGCAACAACAAGGATAGAACTGGAGGATATTATGTTAGGTGAAATAAGACAGGCACAGAAAGACAAATTTTGCATGTTCTCACTTATTTGTGGGAGCTAAAAAGAAAAAAAAACCACGCAATTTTACTCATGAAGATAGAGCATAGAAGGATGGTTAACAGAGGCTGGAAAGAGTAGCAGCGGGTGAGGAAATAGGGATGCTTAATGGGTATAATAAAATAGTTATATTGAATGAATACGATCTAGTATTTGATAGCACAACAGGGTGACTACAGTCAACAATAATTTAGTGTGCATTTTTATTTATTTAATTATTTAATTTATTTATTTATTTTACTTCAAGTTCTGGGATACATGTGCAGAATGTGCAGGATTGGTACATAGGTTTACATGTGCCATGGTGGTTTGCTGCACCCATCAACCTATAGTGTAGATTTTAAGCCCTACATGCATTAGGTATTTGTCCTAATGCTCTCCCTTCTATTGTACATTTTTAAATAAACAAAAGAGTAGAACTGGATTGGTTATAACACAAATAATAAATAAATACTTGAGGTGATGTATACCTTATTTTGCCTGTGATTTTCATGCATTGTATGTCTGCACCAAAATAATCCATGTAGCTCATAAATGTATATACCTAGTATGTACACACAATAATGAAAAATATAAAAAAGGGGATCAAATAAAATACCATGTAGAAGAATCTCACTTTAAATATAAACAACTTAAAAGTGAAAGAAATTCTATGCAAACAATAAGCATAACACTAGAGTGGTAATCATGTTTGAAATAAGCATCGAAACAAAGGTTTCTAGTCAAGAAAGATAGTAGTTTGTAAGGAGGGGTAGTATCTCGACCACATTCATCTTGTTTTCTAATCCACATCACCCACAATTCAAGGGTAGATTTATCATGTAGGATTATTCACTGTGGTAAACTATTTTAGAACCATGATTTATGTGTGTGTTCAGCCCACTAGGGAGTAGAGAAAAGAATAAACTTTAGATTTAATATGAAATATATTTTATAATATTAGACAAATGTTTACATATAAATTAGTACACACAGCCTATATTAATAATAAATTTTTATAAAAGATATTATGTAAACCTTACCATGACACTTATTCAGTAGAATGATTTTTAAAGACTGAATGATTTTCATAATAAATTTACACTAACATTTTATAAATGATGAATTTTTAGGCTTTTTAGAAAATATATTGAACCTGGAATAAAGATTCTTGGGCATTCATCTATGTGAAAATTTTGTATTATTTTTCTGTAATAAATTTATGGTACTAGAGTTACAAGTTTGAAAAGTATGAATATTTTAGGAGTTTTGATACATACCTATTTTTTCAAAAACTTGCTAACTTAATATTATCTATTTTTATCAGCCTATGATTTTTAAAACAGCATAATAAATATCTTTTAAAGTTTGTTTCTGTGCTTCCATACGTAAATAAATTTGATTCTTTTTGCACATACAAATTAGTAAATTTGGGAATTTCCATTTCATGCCCCAAATTCTATTTTTTAAATCAAAGTTTCAATTCAAGATTTTGGTTATTTGTGAGTATACACTACCTTATAGATCCATTTTGACTTTATCATGCAAATATTATTCTCATGCTGTTTTCTGTCATTTAATTTTGCTTCTGTGTTGTTTGATTAAAATATTTAAAAGTATATAATCAAGAATATAAATCACTTATGTGTATATTATGTAACACTTTAAAAGACTTTCCTCAAAACATGAACATATACAAAATATCCATTCTTAAATGAAAAACTTTGTCCAAGTTTTGAGAACTCTGCATTTTAGTCTCGATATTTTACTAGGTAACCATTTATTAAATAATCCATTATTTCAAAACTAATTAAAAAACTACTTTTACTCTTTAGTTTTTAGAAAGAAAATACATTTCATATTAGGGTATGTCATTGTGTTTATTAATTACAATATCAATCACATATTTTTATTTGTAACAGATTTATGGTATATTATGGTATATTAATATCTAACATAAAATTTACTATATTTATAAATACGTATGGTCATTTCCCATAGAAAAATATTATTTCTTACACCAAAATAAAATAAAACATATTAGGCATTGCATAAATTGTATAAAGTTCACACATAAACTTGGAGAAATTACCATGATAAAATATATTTCTTTTTGTTTAAATAAATCAATACATATTTAAATTTCTTTTACGGCTTTCACTAGATTTTTGTAATTTTCTTTAATTACATATTAAGATATCTTGTTAGTTGGATTCTACTGATTTCTTATATTTGTTTTTATATTATCCATGACATAGCTTTTCTGAATATATTTTAAACCTTTTCTTCAATTTACATGTTTTATTATTACTGAAAAGTCCAATTTTTAAATTATGTTAGTCATAACATCTCATTTGATGATTTTTTGAATCTCAAATTAAAATCACATTATCTGAAAGTGTTCAAAGAAATTGTCTTTAATTTATATGTCCTCCATTTTTTTCTTAGCTAGTTTATCTTCTAGAATGATAGTAAGTAAAATAAAACCAATTCTGTCTGTGCTGATATTTATGGAAATATCGTTTGTGGAATTTTTTATGGTATAAAGTTTAATAATGGTAAGAGACATAGGCAATTAAAAATGAGCAACTACCAATGACATGAATCCTGTGTGTACCATGAACTGTGCCTTGTTTCTACAATTTAGGTATAATTTTTTATATATAAATAAATTAAAAATAGAAAAAGTTTTTTTTTTAATTTTAGTGTCAACATGACACTATTATTAATTAAGAGAGTTTGTGTCATGCATGGTGAGTACCTTGCTATCTTCATCCCTTATAAACTAGAGTTAGAGATGACTGTTGCAGTATCACAGAGCATGGGTTAAGCAGCATAATTTATTAGAAAAGGGAATTCATGGGCCTTTCCTTTCTCCATCATTATTCAGAAAGCCTTGCCAGGGTCAGTAAATTCTGCAGAGCTCCAATGTGTGTTTCTGTTTTTGCAGAGAGGCTCCAATTCCTATTTTCAGTTGTATAGGGAAAATTTGAGAAAGCAGCTTAGTTATCTGAAAAATGCCAACTTTCTTTGCCTTTGTGTAGTCTGTATTTGGGCTGTCAATTATTTAGATAAGTTATCTGAGAGCTTCAGCTACTCTCCACTTGGTAACTTGGGGGACTATGGATCGTTGCATTCTATTATATTTTAAGGATGGGGAAGGTCAAGGAGTACAAGTTGAGATGGCAAGCCAACAGCTCTAGAGAAAGCTAAGCTTTGCTCTCATTAAAAGGAAGACATGTTTCTCTGGTCACAACTGATTTGCTGTCTGGGCAAACCAAAATATATTACTTTAGAAAAAATTCTGCTCATGGCATTTCCAATAGAATTTGAACCAGGAAACCTACTCGTTGATTCATTAGATGTTAGCTTATAATGCCAAAAAATAGTAATTAATAGATGGCAGAACCACTTGGCATAACTACTGCAGGATCCTGTAGCAGGATCTTTCGGGTGTTGCTTTTCCAGGCAGAAACCTCTGTGGCTTGTGGCGCCTTTGCTTGAGTTTTGCTCAGGCCTGCTGTGCTTATTCTACCCACTCAGCTGGGCAGGCTGCTCTCTGCTTGCACTACTAGCTGGATCCTATACCTGCCAAAGATAATCCAGACACAGAAAGGCAAGAGGTGTGAGAGCGAGTGCACATCCAGCCACTGCGCTGGCTGCGGCAGGGCAGGGAGCTCCAGGTAATGGCACAGGTGCCAGCTCTGTGCAAGGCTGTAGCTGGACCAGTGGAACCACAAGTGGCTTCCACTCCAGTCAACAGGGAATGCGGTGGCACCCAGAAGCTTAGAGACACCAGGAACCATAGAGACCCAAAGAGGATGTCACAGACTTGGCTTGGAGAGCCCCCAGGTCTGGGATTCCCGAAAGGTCACAGCTCTTCTCTCCTTATTACCCACAACATGGCAAGCAGGGGGCATGTTTCAGACCTGTTCGTGTTATAGCTCTTTCAGTCCCACTATTTGGAGAGTCCTGAGTTCTTATCCTGTGTCCAGGAAGAATGAGGTACATGGACAACTGGAAGGTTAGCAAGGAGGAGAGGCGCTTCATTGAGTGACAGAACAGCTCTCAGGATTCCCAAAGTGGGTAGCGCCTTTCAGCAGGCAGGTTGTTCCAACAAGTCAAGAAGACCTGAAGTGAATAGTTCCCTTTCACAGCTGGTAATCCCAACGTCTTTGTGAGTCTGGCTGAGTCCAGGGTTTTTATGGGTTCCAGAAGGGAGAGAGTGGGTGATGATTGGCTCATGGGTGGCCATGGGCGGGTCTGGAAAAAGAACCATAAGTTCTCACTCCAGGATGCAGACTCCACCTGGAACTGACAGCCCAGCCCCCATACTTCAGGCAATCCCTGGCTTGAAGGTGGGGCTTCACTGGGAACCTGCTCATTTCTGCCCAGACCCCCCACTCTGCCTCCTGCTGCCATCAATCATGTAATCCATGGCACATAGGCTGTTCTTGCCAAGGGGTGCCTGCAGGCACACACCAAGCTGCCCTCAGCCCCCTCTCAGCCTCTCTCCTGTGCTATCTCTAATCACCCTCCTATCCTTTCCCCTTAGTCCCCAAAGTCCATTGCATTGTTCTGATGCCTTTGTGTTGTCATAGCTTAGCACCCACATATGAGTGAGAACATATGATGTACAATGTTTGGTTTTTCATTCCTAAATTACTTCACTTAAAATAATGCTCTCCAGTTCCATCCAGGTTGCTGCAAATGCCATTATTTCAATCCTTTCAATGTCTGAGAAGTATTTCATGCCATATATATATCTATATATATCTATATATATCATATATATATCATATATATGATATATATAGATATATATATATACACACACACCCCATACATATATATATATACACAAACCCCATACATATATATATATATATATATATATATATATATATATATATATATACACACACCCCATATTTTTTATCCACTCATTGATTGATGGGCATTTGGGCTGATTCCATAGTTTTGCAATTGAGAATTGGACTACAATAAACATGACAGTACAAGTATCTTTTTTGTATAATAACTTCTCTTCCTCTAGGTAGATTCCCAGGAGTAGGATTGCTGGATCAAACAGTAGTTATACTTTTAGTTCTTTAAGGAATGTTCACACTGTTTACCAAGTGGTTGTACTATTTTACATTCCCATCAACAGTGTAAAAGTGTTCCTGTTTCAGCACATTCATGCCAACATCTACTGTTTTTTGATTTTTCAATTATGGCCATTCTTGCAGGATGAAGGTGGTATCGCATTGTGGTTTCAATTTGCATTTCCCTGATCATTAGTGATGTTGAGAATTTTTTCATATGTTTGGTGGCCATTTGTATATGTTCTTTTGGGAATTGTCTATTCATGTGCTCAGCCCACTTTTTGATGGGATTATTTGTTTTTTTCTTTCTGATTTGTTTTAGTTCCATGTAGATTCTGGATATTAGTTCTTTGTTAGATGTATAGATTTTGAAGATTTTTCTCCCATACTATGGGTTGTCTGTTTACTCTGCTGATTATTTATTTTGCTGTGCAGAGCTTTTTAGTTTAATTAAATCCCATTTATTTATCTTTGTTTTGGTTGCATTTGCTTTCGGGTCCTTGGTCATGAAGTCTTTGCCCAAACCAATGTCTCCAAGGATTTTTCCAACGTTATCTTCCAGAAGTTTTAAGTTTTCAGGTCTTATATTTAAGCATTTGATATGTCTTGAGTTTATTTTTGTATAAGGTGAGAGATGAGGATCCAGTTTCATTCTTCTGCATGTGGCTTTCCAATAATCTCTGCTCCATTTGTTGAATAGGATGTCCTTTCCCCACTTTATGTTTTTGTTTGTTTTGTCAAAGATCAGTTGATTTAAGTATTTGGCTTTAATTCTGGGTTCTTTCACCTATTTCATTGGTCTATATATCTGTTTTTATACCAGCACCATGCTGTTTGGGTGACTATGGCTTGACAGTATAGTTTGAAGTCAGGTAATATGATGCCTCCAGATTTATTGATTTTACTGAGTCTTTCTTTGGCTATGTGGGCTATCTTTTGGTTCCATATGAATTTTAGAATTGTTTTTTCTAGTTTTGTGAAGAATTGTGGTAGTATTTTATAAGAATTGCATTGAATTTGCAGATTGTTTTTGGCAGTATGGTCATTTTCACAATACTGATTCTACCCAACCATGACAATGGGATATTTTTCTATCTGTTTGTGTTTTCTATGATTTCCTTCAGCATTGTTCTTTAGTTTTCCTTGTAGAGGTCTTTCGCCTCTTTGGTTATGAGTATTTCTAGGTACTTTATTTTATTTTTTGCAGCTATTTTAAAAGGGGTTTGTAGAGAGCCGAAAGCCTGTGGGTCATGACCAACTCAGTATTCCACTGGAGGCTATATGATCAAACAGCAAACTGTTTATCATGAATGCAGGATGTGGGCAAACTCGCAACTGCACCTGCCGCCAGGAAGTTTGCTGAGGGCAATCACTCCCTGGTGCTGTGCTCCTTCAGGTTATCTACTGGAACATCTGGAGACTACTGTTCAAAGAATGCAGTCATGCAGGCCTGCACTGAGTCAAGCAGGTGACCACAATCACCCCCTTCTCCCTATCTCCTTTACTCCATAAATATGAAGGGCAATAGAAGCTCAGGGCCCTTGTTCACCAGAAGCAAGAAGCCCCCTGACTCATTCTTCCAAATATATTCTTTTGTCTTTGTCTTTATTCCTGCATTTGTCCTCCTTTGTTCAGTCCAATAGGGTCTGCAGCAGGGGTTGAGTTATTGATTTGATTCTCATCTTAGTCACTGTTGGTGTAGAGCAGGGCTACCAATTTTTATACATTATTTTTGTATCCTGAAACTTTACTGAATTCATTTACCAGCTCTAGAAGCTTTTGGATGAGTTTTTAGAATTTCTTAACTATACAGTCAGGTCATCAGCAAACAGTGACAGTTAGATTTCCTTTTTACCAATTTGGATGTCCTTTATTTCTTTCTCTTGTCTGATTGCTTTGGCTAGGACTTCTAGTACTATGTTGAATATAAGTAGTGAGAGTATGCATTCTTGTCTTATTCCAGTTCTCACAGGTAATGTTTTCAACGTTTCCTCATTCAGTATAATGTTGGCTATAGGTTTGTCATAGATGGCTTTTATTACCTTAATGTATGAACCTTCTCAGGCAATTTTGCTGAGTGTTTTAATAATAACAGAATACTGGATTTTGTTAAATGCTTTTTCTGTGTCTATTGAGATGATCATGTAATTTTTGTTTTTAATTCTGTTTATGTGGTATATCACATTTATTGACTTGTGAATGTTAAAATATCCCTACATTTCTGGTGTAAAACCCACTAAACAGGTGAATTATCTTTTTGATTTCCTGTTGTATTCAGTTAGCTAGTATTTTGTTGAGGATATTTGTATCTATGTTAATCAGGGATATTGGTCTGTGGTTTACTTTTTTTCTTCTGTTTTCTCCTGCTTTTGGTATTAGAGTGATACTGGCTTTATAGAACGATTTAGGAAGGATTGCCACTTTCTCTACATTTTGGAATAGTGTAAATAGGATCGGTACTAATTCTTCTTTGAATATCTGATAGAAGTCATCTCCGTATCCATTTGGTCCTGGACTTTTTTTTTGTTGGTAATTTTTTAATTACCATTTCAATGTCACTGCTTGTTATTGGTTTTCCAGCATTTCTGTGTCTTGCTGGTTTAATCCAAGAAGGTTGCGTATTTCCAGGAATTTACTCATCTCCTCTAGGTTTTCTAGTTTATAAAAGTAAAGGTGTTCATAGTATTCCTGAATGATATTTTGTATTTATGTGGTATCAGTTGTAATATACCCCCATTTCATTTCTAATTGAGCTTATTTTTATCTTTTCTCTTCTATTTTTATCTCTCTATCAGTCTAGAAACAGGAACAAACCCAAACCAAGCAGAAAAACAGAAATAACCAAGATCAAAACGGAACTAAATGAAATTGAAATGAAAAAGTACAAAGATAAATGAAACAAAAACCTGGTTTATTGAAAAGTTAAATAAAATTGATAATTCAATGGTTTTCAGTGGGAATATTATATTTGTGTACACAACTACTGAACTTTCCCATCATATATATTCCTAACCATATCAAGACACATTAAAATACCTATGTAAAAGCAACATTCATATTTGGATGTAAAATGCTTAAAACATTACTTTTTGTTAACAAACTATTTGCCATTGCATCTTTTATACATTGAAATTATGTTTATTATTATTTGCTTTATTATCCAAATTTTTAACAACACTTTGCCAAATTTTGGAGGTCAATTTTTAAAAATTAACAAAAACAAGAGCTAAATATAAAAATCCCTTAAAGAAATATCTTCAGACAAATATGTAGTAGCAGAAAATGGTTTACACTGAGAAGGATGCTCTGATGCCTTTCTAAGTTGTAGGAAAATGTCAAAAATGCATCTTCATTGTTGATTTTTGACATATTTTCATATTATCTACTTGTGAACTTGATATTCTGCAATTAATTTTAAAATATAGCTCAAATTTTCTTACCTGTTTGATATGGTATGGCTGTGTCTCCACACAATTCTCATCTTTAATTCCCACATGTTGTGGCAGGGACCCAGTGGGGGTGGGTCTTTCTCATGGTATTCTTGTGATAGTGAATAAGTCTCATGAGATCTGATGGTTCTAAAAAGGGGAGTTTCCCTGCAGAACCACTCGTGTCAGCTACCATGTGAGACATGACTTTCACCTTCTGTCATGGCTGTGAGTCCTCCCCAGCCACATGAAAGTGTAAGTCCATTAAACCTTTTTCTTTTGTCAATTGCCCAGTCTCAGGGATGTCTTTATTGGAAGTGTAAAAATGGACGAATACAGTAAATTGGTACCAGTAGAGTGGGGCATTACTGAAAGACACCCAAAAATGTGGACGTGAATTAGGTGAAATTAACTGAAAGATATCCAAAAATGTGGAAGTGAATTAGGTGAAATTAACGGAAAGATATCCAAAAATGTGGAATTGAATTAGGTGAAATTAGTTAATTAAGTGAAAGATACCCAAAAATGTGGAAGTGATTTAGGAACTGGGTAACAGACAGAGGTTGGAACAGTTTGGAGGGTTCTGAAGAGACAGGAAAATATGGGAAAGTTCGTAAGTCCCTAGAGACTTGTTGAATGGACAATGAAATCCAGACAGAGGTGACAATGAAATCCAGACAGAAATCCAGATAGACATGAGGAGCTTGTTGGGAATTGGAGCAAGGATGATTCTTGTTATGTTTTAGCAGCGACTGGCAGCATTTTGCCCCTGCTCTAGAGATCTATGGAACTTTGAACTTGAGAAAAATGATTTAGGGTATCTGGTAGAAGAAATTTCTAAGCAGCAGAGCATTCAAGAGATGATTTGGGTGCTGGTAAAGGTATTCAGTTTTAAAAGGGAAACATAGCATACAAAGTTTGGAAAATTTGCAGCCTTACAATGTGATAGAAAAGAAAATCCTATTTTCTGTGGAGAAATTCAAGCCAGCTGCAGAAATTTGCATAAGTAACAAAGAACCAAATGTTAATCCCCAAAACAATAGGGAAAGTGTCCCCAGGGCATGTCAGAGGTTTTCACTTCAGCTCCTCCCATCACAGGCCCAAAGGCCTAGGAGGAAAAAATGGTTTAATGTGCCAAGCCTAGAGTTCCCATGCTGTGTGCAGCCTAGGGAATTGGTGCCCTGCATCCCAGCTGCTCCAACCATGGCTGAAAGGGGCCAATATAGAGCTCAGGCCTTGGCCTCAGAGGGTGCAAGCCCCATGCCTTTGCAGAGTCTATGTGATGTTGAGCCTGCAGGGGCACAGAAATCATGTATTGGGGTTTGGGATCCTCCATCTAGATTTCAAAAGTTGTATGGAAATGTCTGAATGCCCAGGCAGAAGTTTGCACAGGGGCGGGGCCCTCATGAAGAACCTCTGCTAGGACAGTGCCAAAGGGAAATGTCGGGTCAGAGCCCCCACACAGAGTCACTACTGGGGCACCACCTAGTGGAGCTGTGAGAAGAATGCCACCATCTTTTAGACCCCAGAGTGATAGATCCAGCAATAGCTTGCCCTGTGTACCTGGAAAAGCCAGGCACTCAACACCAGCCCATGAAAACAGCCAGGAGGGGTGCTATAACCTTCAAAGCCTCAGGAGTGGAGCTGCCCAAAGTTGTGGAAGCCCACTTCTTGCATCAGTGCAATCTGGATGTATGTTTCCAGACTGTGTCAAAAGGACAAGCAGAGGACTCAAGTGGGAGGCAGGGGAAAGCTAAAATTTTGTTACTTTAATCAGAGATTACAACAAACACAGCCTTATAACAAGAGAAGACAAAATGTAAACAAAGCTCAATAAAATGTAACCAAAAGCTCATTAGACTTCAGGAGGAGTCATCACAAAGTCGGAAGGCAGATGCCTGGGATCCTGCAGTCAGAGTTGTAAGCAAATATTATAGCAAAAGCAGCCTTAAGTAGGTTTTTGAAGAACTGACAAAAAAAGACAAAATGTAACCAAAGCTCACCAGACCACAGAAGGAGTCATCATTGAGTTGGAAAGCAGATTCTGGGTATCCTGAAATCACAATTGGGGCGACCCCCAGCACATGACAACAGCAGCCTTTGATCCTACTTTGTGTAAGCTCCTTTTATTAAGTCCTATTGTTACCTTGGGAACCTTTGGTTGTTTGCTCAGGAGGGCCCTTTCCGAGCGAACAACATTGAAACAATTGTTCCAGAAGCAGTGTTCCAGGAGCAGCATTTTGGAACACATGCTCCGGGACTTGAACAATAGTTCCAGAAGCAGTATTCAGGATGTTCCGGGACTTGAGTTAATTTCTGGGCTTTTAATCAAATCTTACACAAGGTGTTTTTTGCTTTTCACCTAGGTGCCCCTACCTCTTATAGATGGAGGCATATTTTAAAATGGCGTTAGTGTGGCAAATTTTTCCCCTTCCTACAATGTGAGATATGGAGTCAAAGGAGATCATTTTGGAGCTTTAAGATTTTACTGTCCCACTGGATTTCAGACTTGCATGGGGCCTGCAGCCCTTTTGTTTTGGCTAATTTCTCCCATTTGTAATGGTTGTTTTTACCAAATGCCTGTACCCCCACTGTATCTAGTAAGTAACTAACTTGCTTTTGATTTAACAGACTCATAGGCAGAAGGAACTTGCCTTGCCTTGGATGAGACTTTGGATCGTAGACTTTTGAGTTAACACTGAAATGAGTTAAGACTTTGGGGGACTGTTGGGAAGACATGATTGGTTTTGAAATATGAGGATATGAGATTTGGGAAGGGCCAGGAGCAGAATGATATGGTTTGACTGTGTTCCCACCCTAATCTCATCTTGAATTCCCAAGTGTGGTGTGAGGGACTCAATGGGAGGTAATTGACTCATGGGGGTGGGTCTTCCCTGTGCTACTCTCATGACAGTGAATAAGTCTCATGAAATCTGATGGTTTTAAAAACAGGAGTTTCCCTGCACAAGCCCTCTTCTCTTGTCTGCCACCCTGTGAGACATGGCTTTTGCCTTCCACCATGATTGTGTGGCCTCCCCAACCACGTGGAACTGTAAGTCCATTAAACCTTTTTTTGTTTGTTTGTTTTGTAAATTACCCAGTCTCAGGTGTGTCTTTATCAGCAGTGTGAAAACAGAATAATATACTGTTATTGTTTGATTTGTGGTATATTAAGTTCGGAGAAATTGTAATTTTTTTCTGTGTAACAATTGGCTAAAAATCATTCATTGCAAAATACTTAAATTCTGCAATGTAACTCTACTCAAAAATTTAATATGTGTAATTTATCTGTAGGAATGAACATTTGACAGGTAGATGCTGATCAATTAATAAATATGAAATATACCTTTTACATATTACACTTTGGGAAACAATGTTTTCTCTGAAAATATTTCAATTGGGATCCAATACGATGTTTCAAGTTCTCTAACTAAATTCCCCATATTTCATTTTTCCTTAACCTTTAAGGATGATCTGTTGCCATGCTATCCTATGCAAGACTCTTTACTTCACTGTCTTATGCATACTTCCAAGAATATGCAGTTTTACAAAGTATCATAATGATCTGCTGTATTTTAAATGCGCTCAATAAACACTTTATCATTTTTTGAAAGTTCATCCACAAAATGTATTAGTAATAATCGCTTAATATACTCGAGGTGAGGCTTAAATTAAATAATGTATTATCTTGACATGAAGACCTGAGCAGGGTGTTATCATAAAAGACAAATGCAGAAAAATATTCCTCATGAGAATAGACTTAAAAATCTTGAATGAAATATTAACAAATAAAATCCAACAATATATAAAAATAAATACATTTTTACTGACTTGAACATAGCCCAGAAATGTCAGCAAGGCTGAAGGAATATAAGTATAATTCACTACATAAGCAGAAGGAAAAGGGGGGAAAACATTCATCTAAAAAAAATCTATACTCATTTTTTTGATGCAGTAATACCATTTGCCTAAATTCAACATCCATTAGTGATAAAAATGCTCAGAAAAGTAGAGTAGAAAGAAACTTTCTCAAAAAAAGAACATCAACAAAAACATCTAGAGGTAACTTCATACTTTAATATTGAAAACCTAAATGTCTTCCTGAGATCAGAATAAGACAAAGATTTCCAGTCTCACTTCTATTCAATAATATACTGGTAGTTCAATTCATTTAGGCAAGAAGAATAAATAAAAGTCACAGAAATTGTAAATTTTAAAAAAATAGACAACAGGATTATATAAATACAAAATCCTAAATATTTTGCCAATAAAACTACTAAAAGCAGTAGTAAAATTATCCATGTTAAATAATAGAACATATGAAAAAATCTACTTCTACACACTGGCAAAAAATACTTAGAAAATTGAAGTTTAAAAATGTAATACTTCTAAATAGCTTAAAATAAAATACTTAGGTATAACAAAATATTTTTAAGGCTGTATATTAAAATTCTTTAGGAAGACAAGTAAATGAAGAGATATGGTACGTTTATAGATATGTAGACTAAAATTTTAATATCCTTTCTTTTTTTTTATTATACTTTAAGTTTTAGGGTACATGTGCAAAATGTGCAGGTTTGTTACGTACGTATACCTGGGCCATGTTGGTGTGCTGCACCCATTAACTCGTCATTTAACATCAGGTATATCTCCTAATGCTATCCCTCCCTCCTCCCCCCACCCCACAACAGGCCCTGGTGTGTGATGTTCCCCTTCCTGTGTCCATGTGTTCTCATTGTTCAGTTCCCACCTATGAGTGAGAACATGCGGTGTTTGGTTTTTTGTCCTTGCAATCGTTTGCTGAGAATGATGGTTTCCAGCTTCATCCATGTCCCTACAAAGGACATGAACTCATCATTTTTTATGGCTGCATAGTATTCCATGGTGTTTATGTGCCACATTTTCTTAATGAAGTCTATCATTGTTGGACATTTGGGTTGGTTCCAAGTCTTTGCTATTGTGAAGAGTGCCGATATAAATTTATATATAGTTTCAGTACAACACTATTAGAATCTCAACAGGCTATGTTATAGTAATTAACAAATTAATTCTATACATACAGGGACATCCAAAAAACCTTGAGTGGATAAAATGTTTAAAAAGCAAATAAAACATTGAGGACCTCCAACTACACCTTTTCAAGACTAAGCAGGGTACATAGGTACTAGAATAAGAAAAGTTAGAGAGAATAACAGAATGAAGCATACAAAATAAACCATATATGTATTTTTTCATTGATTTCAATCCTAAGGTATTTAAATGGCAGAAAGAATCTTTTTGTAATAATGCAGAAGCAAGTGGATATCCATAAGAAATACAATGAATCTAAGTTTGTACATTAGTTGAACTCTCAAAATTTCATAAGAAAATCATTCATAAATAAACATACAAAAAAGTCAAACAATTATGTTTAAAAGTTCTGTGAATCAGACAGAGATAACTAAGTGTTCAAATCTGCAAAGATTCTCATCAACCATAAGGCTGATGGGACTCTGCTAAGGATCAGTGATTAAAATATGACAGATAAGATGTCTGTTTCAAGAGAGATGCCCTCTTCCTTGAAGAAAGAGAGAAAAATATCTTTTTAATTTCTATTCTTTGTAGCCTGGATCAAACACTCAGATTATTTCCTGTAACAGCAGGAATGTTGCTTTTAAGGCTATAAAGGCAATGTCTCTCTTATTTTTTGTTCGTTTGTTCAACCATAACTAATTACAGAAAACAACACAATAGAAAGAGAATGTAAATTTTAGTGCCTTGCTTATAGTCTGGGAAGTATAGCCCCACAGGGTACAATCACCAATTCACAGAAAAGTGAACAATTGATCACAGACCTGAGTATAAATTAAAATTCTCCTTCCCTCTACTTCTTTTTTTTTGTTAGTAATACCAATATACACACTGCTCTGCCTATTGAGTAGCCATTCTTTTATTCCTTTGCTTTCTTAATAAACATGCTTTCACTTAAAAAAATGTGTGGACTCCACTCCACAAACACTTACTCAAAATTTCCAATATAAAGAAAAATTAATGGTTGTCCAAAACCAATTCTTAGGAGCTGTCAGAGAGATGTTTTCACATAACCCAAAATGTGGTTAATTACACTTTATTCTCAGGCGGATTTTGGGAAGTACACAAAATATGTAGCCTAAGGCTGTGTTTTTAACCTGGATTTAAGTTTGATGATTGTACTTAAACAAAAAACTTAAGTACTTTTAAGAAAACTGTGTCTTCCCTCTTCCTGACATTCTCTTTTTCAGGCCCTAAAAGAGATTTTGACCTCTTTCCCTCTTTGATTTCTAATCTTTTTTCTAGTCTTACCAAAAAAATTACAAAAATTCTGTTTCTGCTTATGCTGCTTTTTCTTCCTAATCTTCTTTCTGTTTTTGATTATTATTGTAGGCTGCTACAGTTTTATGCTTTGTTTTGGTGTGTGTGTGTGTGTGTGTGTGTGTGTGTGCATGTGTGTGTTTAACTTTTTGTTTGAGCTTAGTCTCAGAGTTTCCCCTTCGATATATTAAACACTATAGAAAAGACAGTCACTTCACTAATTTGCGCTAATTTTAGACTCTTTAGAAAAATTGCAAACCATTGGAGTCCTTCACCCTGTTTCCCCAAATGTTAATATCTTATATAACCTTAATATAACTATTAGGAAAAACAAACATTGGTGTAACATTATTAAATAAACCACAAATATTATGCAGTTTTACCATTTTATTTCTTTTCTTCTTTTCTTTTTTTTTTTTTTTTGGTTTCAAGAACCTAACCAGGATTCCACATTGCTATCAGTTATTTTTCTTTAGTCTCCTCCAGACTGTAGCAATTCTATATTCCTTTCATGTCATCTCATGATTTTCAAGACACTTTTGATGAGTACTAAATCAGTTATTTTGCAAAATGGCCCTCAATTTACATTTACTTTATGTTTACACATTATCGGAATGAGGTTAGGGCTTTTTGACAAGAATATCACGACAGTGATGTTTGTCTTTCTCAGCGCATCTTCTCAATTCATCCACGATGTTAATATGCCTTCTTAGTGGTGAATTTTACCTTGATTATTAAGCTAAAATGCTGTCTTCTGGGTTTCTTCACTGTAAAATGACTGTCTTTTCCATACTGTTTAATATATTGAAGGAGAAACTCTGAGACTAAGTAAACTTTGAAACTCTTCAAACTTTCAACTATGCATTCTCCTTGATTTGAATAGTGCTATATAAATTTAACATATAAAATGAGATATTTCTCTCTGTAATTTTCAAGAAATTTCATAATGGAAAAGTACAAGCCTGGGTGCTCAAATTTTCTATCTGAACTGGTAGGAGACATTTTAATGTTTTATTTACGTTTTAACTTTGATGGTGATAAGCAACCATAAAAAAGGCATCAGTTTATAAAATAGGAAACATCCCACAGAATATCATTTTTAAAATATTTGCTTTATGTAAAGGAGAACTTCTAAAAATTCATGATAAATGGAGATTTTGCATAGTGAAAATAGTTTGGTTTAAAATAAATATAAATCCAAGAGAATTTTGCAGTAAGTACAAGCAAACTTGAGACAAAGTTTTAAGTCTACTTGCTATCAGTGTTAATCTCCCTAAGTAGGACAATGCAATTGAGCATGTAGTGATTAGAATTTCTCAGCAAGCCTTAGAGGAAAATAAAACAAAGGAGGCAAATCACTAATTCAGATATAAAAACCTGGGCAACACAGGCAAGTAAAACATGGCCCAGCTTCTGATGGGCTATTTCATTTTCTGTATTTTCTAGATATGTTATAGTAAGCTTAAACTACTTTTAGGAGAGAAGAAAACATTATAAAAGAGTGCCGGTGTTAGCCTTCAAAAGTAAATGCCCCTAAATCAGTAAACACAAAACCGAGTATGGAATATATGGTATGCATGGCTGTGATTACTTCTCAAATGTAACCTTTCTGATATATACATGTGAATTTATTTATCAAGGTCTAATTTTAGAACTTAAATTTCCCTTATTTGATATTTATTACTTATTATTTTAAAATAAATAATTTATATTTACTCAGAATGTAGTCAGTTAAAAAAGTTTTATTACACTGCTTTTTGTTCCCCACTTTGTGTATGCCTACCATTAACAGTTGACCATATATGAACATAAGGCCATGAAAAATAAGAAAACACATGTTGTAGCTCACTTAATTCTTACAGTAGAAAATGAAACTGTGTTATAACAGGAATACTTCATTGTATTGTGTTTCACTTTGTTACATCTTGCAGATACTGTATTTTTAACCAATTGAAGGTTCCTGGCAACCGTGTCTGGAGAAAGCTTCTTGACCCCATTTTTTAAACAGCAGGTGCTCATTTAGTGTCTCTGTGTCACATTTTGGTAATTCGCATAATATTTAAAACGTTTTCATTATTATTATGTCTGTTATGGTGATCTCTGATCAGAGATTTTTGATGTTACCATTACGATTGTTTTTCAGGCAGAATGAACTGTGCCTATATAAGATAGCAAGCTTAATTTTTTTAAGATAAATCACTTTAAGTTCTCCTTTCTATACTGAATCCTCTACTACTGACTTTTATCAGTTATTCCATTGTTTCTTAATAAAATATTATATTGGCTATATTACATAAATTGGCCTAGTAAATTGTCTTCTCCTAAATACATAGCTACTTGTTTTAGTTATCTATTTTGTCTCTTTTTTAATCCTAGTTTTTGATGTGCAATATAACATATTCCTGATTTGTAACCTTCATTAGATAATTTAGACTTGTACTAATTGTAGTAGAGGCTTTAAATATTAGCTTATTGAATATTTTATTTTGATAATGATCAAAGTAGAAAGAAAACTCATAAAATATGCTTTGGGTTTCCTATTTCACACATATTCATGATTATGAATGGTTTATCTGTAAATCATATTAACATTGACATTGCAAGTAGCTATTTTGGATTTAGATTTTAGAATTAACCTTAATCTTTTAAGAAGAAGTTTATGGACCAAAGTTAAACAAATCAGATACATAAATATTAAGTATAACATAAACTTTCAGTTAGGTAGACCAAATATAGGTAATTTTATATAATTCAACTTATTATTTGATTAAATCAAATTAATTTAAACAGAGCATGATTTTATGTTTGAATAATGTAATTTGATAAAATAGTAGAAATATTAAGAAGTTCTCCGATGCTACTTTAACCATAGTAGGGAAGTAAACACACCAAGATCTCCCTTTAGACCTCTTCTGCTGCTTCATACTCTTTGCCTGTTTTATATGTGAGATGACAAAAGTAAAGACACTTATGCATGACAAAGGTATTATCATGCATAACACTCTATCCAAAGCTAAATTTTAATGGATTACAAAAAGAATTGCATAGAAATACAATGTGTGTAGAAACTAAAAATTCAGTATAGTACTGTAAACCAGGGTATTAAAATTTGAGGTTAAAAAGCTAATTCAAGAAGGCAAATGCATAATAAACCTCGTGATAGATTTAGAGTCCAGCAACAGAAATAGTGGATCAGTTTTGTTTCTCTGTTAGATTTGTTGGTTTCTTTCTGTTGTAGCTACAAAATCAAACTACCCTGTATATTTTTTTGAGAAGTCTCTATAATCATTTATAATTTTCAAACAAAATGCTTTTATTATAGAAATATAAGCATATTGTACCAAAAATTTACTAAATTTTCAGAAACATAATTTAATGAGGCTTGTTTTTCTTGGGAAACCTACAAATTCAATATTGAACAGTATTTGTACTAAGTACATAAGACTGTACTTACAGAACAGTCTTACTACATAGCCAATGTTCTTTAACGTTGTAATTTTTGAAATATTTGCATAAAACAAAACAAACACTTAAGAACGGAGGACAAATATATACATAGTTCTTTTTTTCTGTATTACTTGGTTGTGCAACTCAATCTTTCTCATAATTAACTTAAAATATTATAAGTGTAGAAAGTTTTCCTTCTTTCCAGCTACATTGTTGACTTTACTTAGTGTCAGACAGTCTCTCATCATCAATACTAAAAGCCTTAGAGGGCACATTTTGAAATAAAATAACTAATTACTGTTGAACATCAAGTGACTTTTTCAGTTCTGCCGCATGCAATATTTTTTGAACAAAATCTGGTTGGCCTCATTCTCTTTGGTTACATTTGAACCAGAAAATCTCCCAAAGAAGTGTAAAAATCTAAGTTGATGGCACATTAAATTTTGAATCTATTTAAGACATTAAAAGTTTGGAGACACCAAAGTTCTCATTTTTATTTTCTTTCTTACAAATTTTAGGATGCTTTTTCTGTTACTCCAAGGAGGAAATATGACAAAGACAATTTTTCCTTGCTACTTGCCCTATATAGGCGTTCTATTATATCATGGGTCTGTGTGCCAACGTGCGCCAAACCCTGTCTTACATGACAGACATTGAGGATTTCATTTTAATGTAACTGGGGTCACAAACTGAAACAAAATTATTTCAGGTAGTTTAAGACAGAAATGATCTTGGTGAATTAAAAAATACAATGCTAGCCATGTGAATTAAATTTTTCTTGGTTTTATTCCTAAGCCAAATACTATCCTCACCTCATTACCCATTAAAGAGAGAAGGACTGGATTAATAAATACGCAAATCAATGAACTTATTGGTCATATTCTGATGAATTCCAAAGTCATACAAGATTTAACCATAGGCACTGTTTGTCAGTATTAGCATAAATTTAATTTTCTGTAAACAGGTGTAATTTTTTTCTCAAAATAAACTTTTATTATAAAATTGTTTTCATAAACCCTCATAACTAATACCCTTAAAATGATAAAAATGTGACTATCTTCCATTTCTTTTATGAATAACTATCTTTTCTGTGACCACGTGGACTGCCTTGTAAACACTGGTTAAGAGCTATGAAGATTATGAATCCTAAGGTTTCTAAAACATTTCTACTCAGTGCAGAGAGGTAAAGATAATTTTTCTTTGAACCATAAATCAAATAAATAAAATTCTAGATATTATAACAAATTTATTATTTAGTATCTATGCAACATTGAGAGAGCTACTCTTTCTCAATTTTTTTTTCCTCCTCCTCTTGTTCTTAGGTAAGGTTAGTGATAATTGGTAATTCATTGGGGTATTGTGAGGATTCAAAAACTGTATAGTTATCAGGATTCTTGACACATGTTAAACACTTAATAAACAATAGCTAATTTTTCTGAGGTTTGATCTTATTTAGTTGTTACTTAAAAAAAAACTTATTTTTGTCTGAACTAAGAAGTAGAAGGTCTCAGATGACAGTCCATGTGTCTTGGCAATCTGTTTCTGGTGATCTGTTTTTGTCTTTCTTCATTCTCTGGGCTAAAAGTTTAGCATATTCTGTGGACTCTTCCTTAGTTTTCTTGATACACAGTTTTTTTCAGAACAATACACCAGAGTTTGTGTTGCAGGACATGCGGAGTAACAAGATGCTGAACCTTGGGTGCTTTGATCCTGGGTTTCTTACCTTATTTGTTTAAGGGCTTTCTTACAACATATTGGTAGATATTACCTCTTTAAAGATAATTAAATGGTTAGTGATTTTCCTAGCTCTTTTGGGCCCCAGGTGATCAGGCACTGTGGTGTCAGTCAGTCGACAAATGTCTTTCTCTACTGTATTTTTTTCTCACAATTATTTTTATAACGAAGTTGAGTCCATACAGATTGGCATCCAAATGAAACTCAAAACATTTTCACATTCTTTTTTCTAGTTGCCCTGGGTCTATAACAAGAATTCCACTTATTCAGTAGCAAGAGGACCCAGCCATGGTTCAAGTCATCCTGCTTCATGAGGAAATCTTATTTGTCATTACCACCATTGATCTGGACCACATAACCCTTCCATTCTTTACCCAGAGCCTTAGTCGTGATTTCTATGGCCATATGCTTTTCAAAAAAAAGTACTAAATTCACATTCATCATCCACTTCAATGAGATTCTGGCAGCCAGTAGATGTAAAGGACATATTCAGCCTCACCTTGAAGTAACTGATTGCGTATAAGATGCCACAAAAAAAGGGCTATTGATAATTTTGGAAAAATGTATGGCACTCACTATATGGGCCAAAGTTTCTAAATAGGAAAGTTGAATATGATAGGTAAAATCATATCTTTGTAAATGACAGAATCTAATTTGTGTTTTGTGTAATGGACGGGACTTGTATAGACAAAAATAAAATCGACAGGAGATAATTCAAAGTTGAAGTAAAATACAAAATCCACACTAGTCAGGTAGCTTACATAGCAAGCTGAGGGCAAGAAAAAATAGTATGAGATATCTAACACCTAACAGAAATAAAATGAGAAATATATTTTAAGAGTTATAGCAAAAGTAAGGAAGGCCTTGCAAGTAAAACATCAAATTTTACACCTTACATCACTGAAGTAAGCACATGAATTTTTTGACCAGAAAAATTATAGCTGGCAGTGAAAAGCAGAAAGAAAGAATAGACAAGGGTGGAAGTAGAGAGGCTATCTTGCAGCAGCCACAGAAGCAAACTAAGTGCAAACTGTTAGGACTCTGGATCCAAGTACATGAAGAGCAAATAGAAAAAGAAAGTGAGCCCAAGAATCATACTGGAATAGAACAAGATACCACTTGAACACATATTCGAAAAGTTTAAATATAAGAGAGTAGAACAATGTAATATAGTGAAAGTAAGTGGTTCAAGTTTTAGCTTCTGCATTCCCTGCTGTGCGCCTTGATAGGGCAAAGTAAATAACCAACCAAATGTGTTTCCTTCTCTGTATAAAGTAGATTACATACTATGGATATAATAATGCCTATTTAAATTATTACAGGAGGGTGGGCGTGGTGTCTCGCGCCTGTAATCCCAGCACTTTGGGAGGCCAAGACAGGTGGATCACCTGAGGTCAGGAGTTCAAGACCAGCCTGGCCAAAATAGTGAAACCTGGTCTCTACTAAAAATACAAAACTTATCCAGACAAGATGGCACGGGCTTGTAGTCCCAGCTACTTAGGAGGCTGAGGCTGGAAAATCACTTGAACTTGGGAGGTGTAGGTTGTAGTGAGCTGATATCACTCCACTGTACCCAAGCCTGGGTGACAGAGAGAGAGTCTTTCTCATAAAATAATAAATAAATAAATAAATACAGCAAATAATACCGCTGATATGTAGCATGACACCTACCTACTGTAGGGATTTAATAAATGATATTAGCATTATGAACATTAAGAAAAGGACATAATAAAAGATGTTTTCAGAAGCCATGATGTGCATGAGTTAGAAGACTGCATTATAATTCACAGGAATGTTGAGATCTTGTTTAAGGCTGGGGTTGGTAGGTAGAGAAAAATTATCATACAATACAGTGCGTATCTAGTTTGAGAGTATGTGATACATGCAAGTGGAGTTAAGGGTAAAACTTATAGGAGCACACAGTTCCTACTAAAGAGATAGTTTTGTTTTTCTGTGAGTTATTAGTTTTCAAATGCCATTATTTCACTTTGTTTTAATTTTTTAATTATTTTCCCCAGTGCTAATAGTAGTTAATATAACACAGCCAATTTAAATCCAACACACTGATAAAATAGATACGTTACACCGTGCGGGACTCTGACCAAATTCTCTAGCTCTGCTTGCCCACAGGGATCATATTTATAAGCATTTCTTCAGCCATTATCCAAATTACAAATTAGAAGTAAACTTTTATATAAACATAGTTTGAAAGCAGGTGGTGTTTTGATTATTTGCAACTGAGCATTCTAATGAAGCCACGAGAATTGAATAGATGGTAATTTATTGAAAGAATTGAAAAGGGTGTTTTTAGCTGAAACCTCAGAGTGAAAAGAATGCTTCATGAATTCACCAAGTATAAAATTTAAATTCTCCTGCTGAGTTAAATATGCCTTGACAATGTCAACGAACTTGGAGAAAAATGACAAATTACTATTACATGCTCAAGTTTCTGAAGGTCATGCTGTTAGCTATTGTAAATATTGCAGGATACTACTGAAAAGCCTGTTTTATATTTATCCTCATTATTTGTGCAAAATATTTTACCCTTTAGACTGCTATAAACTACAGCTGAGCTCAGAAAATATATAATAAAGGCTTATACAGTTTTTTTCCCTCTTAAACAAAATAGCAGTACATAGTAGTGTTCTCACTTTAAATTGTATTTCATATTTTAATCTTAGTTATTATCTACAAAAATTGTAAACTCTCTTATCATCTATATGCCTACAAATATATATGTCAACTTTCAGAAAATGTTTTCACTCTTACTGCTGAACATGTAGTCATAGAGTCCAGTAAAATTTGAAACTGTCCAATTATATCAGAAAGTTCTTCATTTTTATTGGAAATAAAACTATGACAGGAGCAGGAAAAAATGATTGACAAGTAACATATAAAACCAAAACAAGTTTTTAATATTCTCTTTTCCAATTATCACATTGAAGGAAATGTTCTTTAAAATTCTGAAGCCTATGAAAATCATTTCTATTTTTGTACACTAGACATTGGTAGGAATGTATATTAGTTCAACCATTGTGGAAGACAGAATGGCAATTCCTCAAGGATCTAGAACGAGAAATACCATTTGACCCAGCAATCCCATTACTTGGTATATAGCCAGAGGAATATATATCATTCTACTATAAACACACCTGCACACGCATGTTTATTGCAGCACTATTCACAATAGCAAAGACATGGAACCAACCCAAATGCCCATCAATGACAGACTGGATAAAGAAAATGTGCTACATATACACCATGGAATACTAGGCAGCCATAAAAAGGAATGATATCATTTCCTTTTCAGGGACATGGATGAAGCTGCAAGCCATCATTCTCAGCAAACTAACACAAGAACAAAAAACCAAACACCATATGTTCTCACTCATAAGTGGGAGTTGAACATTGAGAACACACGGACACAGAGAGGGGAGCAACACACACCAGGGCCTGTTGGGGGCAAGGTGAGGGGAGAAAACTTAGAGGTCATGTCATTAGGTGCAGTAAACCACTGTGGCATGCATATACCTGTATATCAAGCCTGCACATTCTGCAACTTGTATCCCATTTTTTTTGGAAGAAATAAAGAAAAAAAATAAAGCATTTTGATAAGCATAGTTTTAAAAACACAAAAGACAGCCAGATCTGTATTATGTGAATTGATAATTACTATCTATTAACTTTTACATAACGGAGGTGAAAATAATTACTGAATGTATCAATAGTCATAGCTGTATTTTTATAAGAACAAAAATTTTGATATACAATCATGTTTAATGCTGTCGTTATTTAACTTTGATTCTTAAAATAGAGAATTTGATGTCATCATTCATTGCTCTCTGTCTCTCTCTGTTTCCCATGCCTAATCAATCACCAGTTACTATTAATAAAATCTAGTAATATCTCTTAAAATTGGCCACTTTTTTCTATTCTTCTCACCCCTGAATGTACAGTATTATCTTTGCTCATTTGAATTTTTTTTTTTTTTTTTTTTTGAGACAGAGTCTCGCTCTGTCACCAGGCTGGAGTGCAGTGGCGAGATCTCGGCTCACTGCAACCTCCGCCTCCCGGGTTCAAGTGACTCTCCTGCCTCAGCCTGCCAAGTAGCTGGGACTGCAGGCGCATGCCACCACACCAAACTAGTGTTTGTAATTTTTTAGTAGAGATGGGGTTTCACCATGTTGGCCAGGATGGTCTGAATCTCTTGATCTCGTGATCCGCCAACCTCAGCCTCCCAAAGTGCTGGGATTACAGGCGTGAGCCACCGCACATGGCCTGAATTGTTTTAAGTCTTTATCTTGTTTCATTTTCATCAGACTATCCTTCTTAATCAATCCTAAAAATGCCTTCTAGAATTATTTTCTAAGAAGAGAGTAATCATATTAGTCCACTTTTCATTAACCTATTTTGTTTATGCAATTCATAGGGTATAAAAGCAATTTTGTTAATTTGGCCCTCACAATCTGGACCAAAACTATTCTACCAATATTCTTCCAGTTTATCAGTTCTCACAGAAAATACATTATCCCATGATTTTTTATGAGTCACTGTATTTATATATTATATTATTCCTTCTGCCAAAAATGACAAAATCTATTTTAAAAAATAATTTTATTCTCAAAATTCTACACACCCTCCAAGACTTACTTTAAATGTCGCCATAACAGTGAAATCTTCCCTGATGTGTTTGTAAAGATTTGATTTCTCTGTCTGTGATATGTTTTTAACTCTTAATTCTCAATTCTTTAATAAAACTTACCACATTACGTATGCATTAATTTGTTAAGGTCTTTGTGTTCTCAAATGAATCAAAGGCTTCTAAGACCTTTATACACAAAGAGAGATCGGTGGAACAGATAGGGAGCTTGTATGAAATGCAGCAACTCTGAATCTAAGTCTGTATTTTAAGTAAGATTTTTATGTGATTAGTGTGAATATTAAAGTTTACATAACACTGCTGTAGAATACACACACACACACACACACACACACACACATACACAGACACACACAGACATAAAAACCATCCTAATCTGAGTCAAGTACAAAGCTCAATTAAAAGTTACTAAATGAAGAAAAATTTAAGCTTGAACTTACTTTACTACTGTGAATTTTACTAATGAAGCTGATTGTTTTATTTTAGTTCCTGAATATAGACTAGTGAATTCTAGTCTGTGAGCCACTCTGTCTGAACTTATTGAGAGAGTTTTGGTAAAACTCATGTGGCTCTTCTGACCTACCAGAGAGTAAAATAGCAGGGCCTGCTGCAAGAAAATATGCAGAATAGAAATTCAGAATTAATGCAAGCTCATTTGTTTAAGAGAACAATATTCCTCAGTAGATTATCATAATAGAAATTCATTTTATATCACACTCTTATAAGACTGAAGAAACATGTCCTTGTGGGATGCAGGTTAAAAACTATAAGATAAATAATAAAACCCCTCTGTATGGCCTCTGAAAAATACCAGTAGCTGCCAGTGCTAAATTCTGTTCTCTCCACTGCTTTAAAAATTAAATCTTTAGCACAGTGGGAATATTAGTTGTTGGTAAAAGGATTAATGGCTCAATATATTTGTTCTGTAAGTGGGAGTTGGAATTGACAATTAATAAGCTGAAGCTTTTCCACTTTTGGAACATGCATATATTTGAGAGAAGATATGTTTTGTTTGGTTTTGACTTTTATTTATATAATCTTTAGATATAAAATGTAAAGTTGAAGTTATGTATTTTGATACTGACTCTATTCATATTTCTATCTCTTAGATAATGAAGATATTATACCATTATATGCTCTTGAATCTGTCTCATTGTGACTTGGCGAAGAGGCAGTGAATCTGCCAAAAAGAAGTAGAGCAGCTGTGAAGATGCCAACACAATTGAGTACTCTTTCTCTACATATTTCTAAATATGGCAATTTATTGGACACTTATGAGCATGGAATGACAATGGGGTCAATTTAACCATACGGCAATGCTGAGACACCTTCATTATGACCTTTCCCTGGTATAAGTTATGTGATAATGAATGCATGTTTAGTCACACACTGTAGGTACAGATGGGAAAAAAGAAAGCATAAAATATAAAACATGATGTCCAGGTTTCAAATAAGAATTCTAAAATGTTATTTAATTAATGAAATGAAAATACTTTACTTTAGAAAAAGAATATTGAATCTCTTTGATGTATAAAATGTATATTTCAAATTAAAAATTCAAAAGAAACAAATTAGATATAATTTATTTTGTCCTCAAATACTCTTGATGACTGCACAATTCCTTTCATCTTCAAATTTTGTCAAATTCAAGTATCACCTGTCTTCAGGCTAAGTGTTGACCATATGGCAAAATGAAGCTCATCATACTACAGAGATCTACTTGGGGTCTAATTTTCATCATTATAATCCAAAATTTTCCTTCAAAGACAAAAAGACAAAACAGTTGATAAAGCCTTCTATAAGATTATTATTACTGATTATTTAAATTCCTTTGACTGGGTCAAATAAATATTCTGTAGACAAAATTAATTTCATATCAAAGTGAGATAATTTTTGAATTGTGCTCCAAAAAGTCATTTTTAAATTATAAATTTGTATTTATTAATTGACACATTTAACAAAAATTCATTCAGTGCTATACAGCAACCATTATGCCAAGACTGAAACATTTCCTTCCCCCACAAATCAAAAACTATATTGTAAATAGTCATGAGAGTTTCAACACTAGCTCCCCAAAAGGCTATTCATCCCAAAATAAAGTCGTGCCATTGTTTCACTTAAGGCTTCTAAGTTGTTTTGAAAAGTTGTGTCATTTCTGGAATGACTAGTAATGTATTTAAGGGAGTTAAAAGAAGTAATTACCATTTACTGACTAGTCACATACTAGGTTATTTTATTATGGTAAACCACTTACATGTAAAATTGTGAATTGTGACATAAATTGAACAATTTCCAAAATTAAGTACTTTCTCAGTTTTTGGACAAGATTCTACTGTCCTATCACTGCTTTCAAAATACCTCCCTTTAAAGTCAAAGTAAACATTTCCTGAGTTAATTTCAACTGCTGTGGCACATAACAACATTTTGGTCAACAACTGATTGCATATACATTGGTGATCCTATAAGATTATAATGAAGCCAAAAAAATTATTGTAGCCTAGTGACATTATAGTCATCCCAATGTCATAACAAAATGTGTTACTCACATGTTTGTGGTGATCCTTGTGCAAACAAACTCATTGCACTGCCATTCATATAAAATGATAGCATATACAATTATGTAGAATACATAATAATTGATAACGATAGTGACATGTTGGGGCTCTGTGTCCCCACCCAAATCTCATCTTGAATAATCCCCAGGTGTGGAGGGAGAGATGTGGTAGGAGGTGATTGGATCATGGGGCAGTTGCTCCCATGCTGTTCTTGCGATAGTGAGTGAGTTATGAGATCTAATGGTTTTATAAGGGGCTCTTTCCTCTATGCCTGCCACACTATCTCTTGCCTGCTGCCATGTAAGCCGTGCCTGTTTCCACTTCCACCATAATTGTAAGGCTGAGGCCTCCCCAGCCACGTGAAACTGTGAGTCAATTAAAAATCTTTCCTTTATAATTACCCAGTCTTGGGTATTTCTTTATAGCAATGTGAAAACAGACTAAGTAAGTTGGTACTGCAGAGAGTGGGGCACTGCTATAAAGATACTTGAAAATGTGGAAGTAACTTTGGACCTGGGTAACAAGCAGAGGTGCAACAGTTTGGAGGGCTCAGAAGACAGGAATATGTGGGAAAGACTGGAGCATCCTAGAGACTTGTTGAATGGTTTTGACCCAAATGCTGATAGTGATTTGAACACTGGAGTACAGGCTGAGGTGGTCTCGGATGGAGACGAGGAACTTATTGGGAACTGGAGTAAACATCACTCAGGCTATGCTTTAGCACAAAGGCTGGCAGCATTTTGCCCTGTCCTAGAGATCTGTTGAACTTTGAACTTGAGAGAGATGATGTGAAATTGAAACTTATGTTTAAAAGGAAAGGGAACATAAAAGTTTGAATAATTTGCAGCCTGTCAATGCAGTAGCAAAGAAAAACCCATTTTCTGAGGAGGAATTCAAGCTAGCTGCAGAAATTTGCATAAGTAACAAAGAGCCGAAAGACAATGGGGAAAAAAATCTCTAGGGCATGTTGCAGACCTTCACAACAGCCCCTCCCATCACAGACCCAAAGAACTAGGAGGAAAAAATTGTTTTGCATGCAGGGCCCAGGGGCCCACTGTTGCTCTGTGCAGCCTTAGGACTTGGTGCCCTGCATCCCAACCATGTCTAAAAGGAGCCAATGTACAGCTCAGGCCATCGCTTCAGAGGTTGCAAACCCCATGATTTGGCAGCTTCCATGTGGTGTTACATCTGCAGGTGCACAGAAGTAAATAACTGAAATTTGTGAACCTTGGCCTGGATTTCATAGGATGTGTGGAAACATCTGGATGTCCAGGCAGATGTTTGCTGCAGAGATGAAGACTTCATGAAGAACCTCTCCTAGGGGAATGCAAAGGGGAAATGTGGGATTGAAGCTCCCACATAGAGTCCCCATTGGAGCACCGCCTAGTGGAGCTGTGAGAAGAGGGCCACAGTGCTCCAGAATTGTAGATCCACCAACATCTTTCCCTGTGCTCTTGAAAAAAACCACAGAGACTCAATGCCAGCCCAGGTAAACAGCCAGGAGGGGGGCTGTACTCTGCAAAGCCATGGGGTTGTAGCTGTTCAAGACCATGGGAGCCAAACTCTTGCATCAGTGTGTCTGGATGTGAGACATGGAGTCAAGGCGATTATTTTGGAGCTTTAAGATTTGACTGCCCTGCTGGATTTCAGGCTTTCATGGGGCCTGTAGCCTTTTTGTTTTGTCCAATTTCTCCCATTTGAAATGGGAGCATTTATCCAATGTCTCAGCCATTATTGTATCTTGGAATTAGCTAAGTTGCTTTTGATTTTATTGGCTCCTAGGAGAAGGGACTTGCCTTGTCTCAGATGAGACTTTGGACTATGGACTTTTGAATTAATGCTGAAATGAGTTAAGACTTTGGGGAATGGTTGAGAAGGCATGGTTGGTTTTCAAATGTGAGGAGATGAGATTTGGGAGGGATCAGGGCAGATTCATATAGTTAGGATTTATGTCCCCGCCAAAATCTCATCTTGAATTGTAATCCCCAGGTATTGAAGGAGAGACCGGGTGAGTGGTGATTGGATCAAGGGGGCAGTTTCCCCCATGCTGTTCTCATGATAGCAAGTGAGTTCTCATGAGATCTGCTGTTTTTATAAGGTGCTCTTGTCTCTTCATTTCCCACACATGCTGTCTTGCCTGTCACCATATAAGTTGTGACTGCTTCCACTTCCACCATGATTATAAGTTTCCTGTTGCCTCTCCAGTCTTTTGGAACTCTAAGTCAATTAAACCTCTTTCCTTTATAAATTACCAAGTCTCAAGTATTTCTTTATAGCAGCATGAAAACAGACTAATACAGACAGCAAACAAGTATGATACTGGTTTATGAATTTACTATACTGCTTTCCATTAGAGTGTATAATAGTAAGCAACTATGATACTGGTTTATGAACTTACTATACTGCTTTCCATTAGAGTGTAATCCTCCTACTTATATATATTTTTAAAAAGTTAACTTTTTAAAACAGCCTCAGGCAGGCCTTTCAGGAGGCGTTCCAGAAGAAGGCAAAGTTGTGGGAGGAGATTACCTCTCCATGCTTCCTTTTGCTCCTGAAGACCTTTCAGTGGGATGAGATGTGGAGGTGGAAGATGATGATATTAATGATTTTGACCTTGTGTAGGCCTAGGCTAATGTGTGTGTCGTTCTATAGTTTTTAACAAAAAAGTTTAAAAAGTAAAAACATAAAAATAAAAATACAGAAAAGCTTATAAAATCAAGATATAAAGAAAATATTTTTGCATAGCTGTCCTATATGACTATGTTTTAAGCTGTGTTACTACTACAGTAAAAAAGTTAAAATAACTTAAAAGTTTATAAAGTAAAAATGTGACAGTAGGCTAAGGTTAATTCATTGAAGAAAAAGTATATTTTTATAAATTTAGTCTAACCTACATTTATAGTGTTTATAAAACCTAGAGTAAATATTTTTATCCATCCGTACAATATGTGTGGGTTTTCAGCTGTTGTTACAGAAGAACAAAAGTTAAAAAAATTAAGTTTATAAAGTAAAAATGTGACCACTAAGGTTAACTTATTATTGTATAAAAAAGTTTAATAAATTTAATGTACACTAAGTTTAGAGTTTCATAAAGTCTACAGTAGTGTACGGTACTGTCCTTGGCCTTCAAATTTACTCACCATTCACTAAGTGACTCACGTAGAGAAACTTCTAGTCCTTCAAGCACCATTCATGGTTAATAGCCTATAAATGTGTATCATTTGTAATCTTTTATACTATATTTTTACTATAATTTCTATGTTTAGCAATGTTTAGTATACAGTTACCATGGCATTAAATTTGCCTACAGCATTCAGTACAGTAACATGCTGCACAGGTTTGTAGCCTAGGAACCATAGGCTATATACCATATAGCCTAGGAACCATAGGCTATATACCATATAGCCTAGGTATGTAGTAGGCTATAACACCTAGATTTGTGTAAGCAACAGGTTTGTGCTTACACAAAGCTAGATGTTAGCACATTAACAATATTACCTATAGACACATTTCTCAGAATGTTTCCTCATTGTTACGAAACAAAGGGTTGTACTTGGAATAAATTAAAAATAACCTTCTGAATTACAATGAAAAATACAGAAATGATATTTAAATTTTTAAAATTTCTCAATTTAAAAATTTTTAAACCTATTAAAATATTAGTGCTGAAATAAAAATTCTTCAATGTTACTATTTCTATCCTTAATTTTGTGCTTAAAAACACATTTACACATTTTTGAAGTAAAATGAAGAGGAAGATTGAGAGAAAGGAAGGAAGGAAGGAAGGAAAAAGAAGAAAAGCTATTTTATGAATTTTAGTTAAACCTGAAGGAAAAATATAATATTTATTCAATAAATAAAATACTTTTTACTATTACACACTTTCAAGCATCTGCATGATATTTACTCTCCAATCAGATGTACAACATAGATATAGTAGAATTAGAAACAGATGCAAAACATGTAATTTTTATCAATATGTGAAGAAAACTTGGTAAAAATATCTCCACACTTTAAAAACACAAAATCGTTGAAATTTATGACAAAAGAGGGCAATGAGTTTACATTTTAATCTTCCAAATTGTCATTCAACAATTTACTTAGTTTTTTCAAATAAATGATATAATTTTTGGCACTGATTTTAAAATTATACCATAAAAGAATATGTGTTTAAATTGTGCTATTCAAACCTCTAATAGTTTTCCATTATGTAAATAAGCAAATAGTATTAGAATGTGATCAAATTTCCTCAAGGTTAAATGATATATAGTTTGGCATTTCTATTGCATAATTGACTTTAAGTTAGATTTCCGCAGTATTTTGAAGTTACAAGTTTATTATTTATGTGAGGCAAATCCAAATTAGAAGATCAGACCATCCTTGGGGACATTTATAAAATTCTCCACAATTTAATTAAAGGGAAGTAAGATAGTTTACTTTAACTCTTACTTATATTTTGGGTATGTTTAAAGGGCTGAAAAAATGACTAAAGTCAAGTCTATTTAGAATGTCTTGTTTTAAAATGATTTGTGCTAAAAAATGGGGTGGAAGATAATGCAAACTAGATTTGATTATTTTTTGGAAGATGATTACAATTGAATTTTTATAAAAGTTTAGTAGCATATCCATAGACATTTTAATCTAGACTAACAGAAAAAATACCATAATGAACGTATCTTTATTGTCCAACTTTCTGATTGACAATGTCAAGGTAGTTAATGATATTAATAAATTTACCTCAGTGATATTGATGAGGAAATTGCTTTTCAAATATTTACCCATGTCTATTTTCTCAATCAAAAGTAGATTTCAAGATTTAAGCAGTCTTTTTTAAAACGGTCACCTTCTTTCCATTTTTCCATCTGATTCAGAATTCAGATAAAAGGGAGAGCAAATCCTACTGCCAACACATACAAATGCACACATACACATACACACATGGGGGAAGGTAGAAATGGAGGTAGATTTATTTCTGCTCTTATCGATAACCCTAGGCCCTGATGCGGGAAGATGTGGATGATGAAAGAGCGAAGCTAAACTGTGAGCTCTAGAATGCACATGGGTTCTTCAATTTTTTTTCTCAACTCTTTGTGGCACGGATTACTATTTATTTGAGAGAACCATTGACTCTAGAATTAGACAGAGGCCTGTAGCAGGAATTAAGATATTATCTGCCTGCAGCTTATTGCAGTCCGTGGGCTTGGAGAAAATATAAAAGTTCAGTTCAGTCAAGTAATAATTATCAAAGATTACACAAATTTCTGAAGTTCCTCTTGTGCTAAACAACTGAGAACCTGAGCATTGTGGATGTCATGCAAAGGGTGAGGAATGGGATACCAAGGAGATATGATTAGAAAGCAAAACAAAACAGAAAAAGCTAATAAAAAAACACATTTCAGAAATTGCTTTGAGTTTAAAAAAACATAACCACAACTTGGATTACATAAATTGATCACTAACTTCCTTTCCTTATTGCCAACGAACACAAATAAACAAACGAAAGATACATGCGATGGTTAATTTTATGTTTCAACTTGACTGGGCTAGATAGGTGATAAAACATTATTCCTGGGTGTTTCTGTGAGGATATTTACAGAAGAGCTTAGCATTTTGATCAGCAGATGGGTAAAGAAGAATTGTCCTCTTCAGTGTGGGAGGACACACACTGTATCATCCAATTGTATCATTCCCATTGTATCATCCAATCCATGGGAAGATCAAACAGAATAAAGAGATGTAGAAACAGAAAATTCTCTCTCTCTTTTCTTGAGCTGAGACATACATCTTCTCCTACACTGAGATATCAGAGCTCTTAGTTTTTGGACATTCACACTCCAAGACATACAGCAGCCATCTTCTTGGTTCTGAGGCTTTCAGAATCATACTGAATTATACCACCAACTTTCCTAGTTATCCAGTTTGAAAATGACAATAATGGAACTTCTTAACTACCATAACTGTGTGAGCCAACTGTCATAATAAATCCTCCCTTATATCATCGATCGATCAATCCATCTATCTATCTATCTATCTATCTATCTATCTATCTATCTATCTATATCTGTATCTATCTATCTCTACATCTTATGTTTCTATTTCTCTGGAGAACTCTAATACAATAAACAAAGTAAATTGATACAGAAAAGCAGCCAATAATTATCCAGTCCATAGAGATTGATCTTTACAGATATAGTTAGCCATGAAATGTATGAAACCAAATCTGAAAAAGTAGAGCTAAAATTTTCAACTTGAAGTTCTGCAATTGAGACGAAGAAAAAAAATTGAAACTTAAAACAATAGCAGTAAAGAAGATAATTCAACTGAAGCAAAAATAGATATGCCTAACTCCAGTCTAAAACTGGCACTAATGTAGTGTGTAGAACTATTCAAGGTAGTGAAGTAATAATGCTTCATTTCATTTTTGTGTTTCAAATTGGTTTATAATCATTAAACCAGGCACACATGCATATGCAAATATGCATGCACACACACCCCTACAGACACAAACACAACATAAAACAAACACTATACTGTCTATCCAGACTTCAAAATTCAATTTTGAAAAAGACAGATAATACCAGCAAAGTTATAACCAAAAATATGTGGGCCCATCCAGGATAGAAGGTCTTTCACTTAATTACCAGAGAATTCCAAATGCTGCAACTGGCCGTCATGGTAGGAATTACATAGCAGATAGCATTTGACCTGAAATCTCTAACGCTATTAAAAGGGATAAAGCAATCTTATAAAAGAGAAAGGGTAAAGATTATGCAAAGTGAGGATGCTTTCATTATATTTTATTGTATTTTATAACCTCACCATAAATAAATTTAAAAATCTCTCCCACTTGAATTTAGAGATCTAAGTACAGAACAGGCTACAAATGTTTAACACCTTATTATTTCTATCTGGCATATATTAGTGTAACTGTTTTATCTAACCTCATCAATTAGTTCAGTAATCAAATGTGTTTTCATTTCATTTAAAGTGCAAAGTAAATGATTCCGGAATCCTAGTTTATAAGTTGAAAGAAGCCTGTATTATATCTCCACTGACACCTCCCTGCACAATTTCATCACTCTTAGAAAGAAACAGGGTATGCCAGGGTATAATCCAGGCAAAGAGTCAGGTCGTAATACCTTGCTTCATTAAGTAAAAACTTGGGAGGCTGATTAATGAGCTAAGTTGCCTTATTCATGTTTATTATTGCTGCTTTATAGAGTTACACTGGCAGCATCAGTTCCCTGAAAGTTCCTGTTTCCCATTTCATGGAGTGTTTCTACGTCTCAATGATGTTGTTGCCAGAATTATGTTCCAGGTGGCTAAGGCAAGGTGTTTTTCTCATACCAAGTGTAATGACAGTGGAGACTTGCAGCCCGGCCATGTAGCCTTGATTCTGCAGGGTACTGTAACCAATAAAACCTGATTTATCAGCAGAACCTATAACAATTGTTAGATATATTGTGAAAACCGATGATTTCCATCCTACCCTCAGGTCTGTCAGTAGTCCTTGATGGTATTCATGGGCTGAAGGGAAGTGAGGCAGGCAAGTAGAAACCAGTGTTCCCCAAGTATCCTCAGTTGTATGCCCATATGAGCACTCTATTCATCTGTATGGTCACTAGATATTCATGTACTACCTCTCTATGATGGAGGCTTTTAACACAATTTTAATTAAGTCTCTCAAAGTGGCAGGATACAGGACATTCTACAATCAGAAATTCACTTGGTTACAAAATTTTTACTGTAACACCTACTACTATAAAATACATCAACCTACTTTTAGATTGTACCATATATGCTTGTCATGTTATGTGGTTATAGCCTGATGAGTTTATTAGAGACATTCTTTAAATCTCAGAAAAAGAGAATGTGTGTGCAGACCTCCCTCTGTTCTCTCCTAAGAAAACCTCTGATGCCTTTTCAGATTGTCAACTTGCAACATTCAATTAGCCCATAAGAAATGATATTCCAGGAAGACTGACTGCATCAGCCTATAACCAAAGCAATTTGCGGACTTTCATCAAAATAATGTTTCTCAAGCCAGGATAATTTTTCCCTTTTTCTGGGGTACACTTGACAATGTCTAAAACTAATTTTACTATCACATCTGGGGAGTATTATTGGTATCTAGTGGGTAAAGGGCAGAGACTCTGCTACATCCCCTAAAACGCCCAAGACAGTCTCACACAGCTAAGAATTATCCTGGCCAAAATATCATTAGTGCCAGAATTGAGAGATAATGCTTTATAAGATTTTCTGTATAAGTACAGTTTACTGTTTTCACTTTTAAACTCCATTCAGCTTGGATTTCCTGATGCTATAATTTTGCACCACTTTTTATATATTTTCAAATACTTAAACTCACTTGCATCAAATTTCCTTGAAATACAGTTTATAACCAAGATTCCATTATAAATAAAATAAAATTATAAAAAAGTGTTTATTCAAAAAATGTGATAATACTTCTTTTTTTTTTCAAATCAAAGGGTAAACTGGAAGTCAAAAAATACAAATATATTAATGGAAAACATCAAACAGTACCAAGTATACAAAATATTATTTTTATATGCACTGTTGAATTTGAATTATAATACTTTTATTTTACTCAATGGAAATTGAATGTGGATTCTTATTATAAAATAGTTTCAAAGACCTTCTGCTCAGAAGAGATGAGGTATCTATTTATCACCAATAAGGACCCTGGGAAAATGATATAATCCTCCCCAAACTGAAGTTCTTTGTAAATAAAATTTAGATAAGCTATTCACAAACAAATATTTTGCAATTAAATTAGAAAATGTATGTAAAACTTAGCACAAATCCTTCTACAAAAATTTAGTTCACATTACTTAATCTTTTTTCTCTCCATCTTTAAAAATTCCAAATGAAAAGTATGTACATATTATGATCAATAATAAACAGAAAACTAAACAAAATAAAGTGAGTTTCATTTTTCATTTAACAATTGGCCACCTTGAATATCATTTGTCATCACAAAAATTGCTTAATCCTGTGTTACCACGACACATGGCAAGACCTGCTGCTGCCACATCTTTCATCTAATAGACTCTGCTAGATGCTGCTGGTGGTGATCATTATCATTTATATTTGTCATGAGATATAAACCATCCAGCCCAAAGATGAATATATCTACTCAAAGCTCAAAATGTCTAGTAGATATTTGTCATCACATTTG